>NC_000013.11:81464918-81617759 GCF_000001405.40 Homo sapiens | reverse complement strand
GAGTAAACTAGATTAGTCCTAATTTCCATTTATGTGTTTTATAGATATTGTTATGACAAAAAATAATTGAGTGATATAGATATAAATTTTCAGTAAATATATTTTTGACCCAGAGGCATACCTTTTGAGTTCTTAAATCTTTTTATTGTGAAATTTTATTTTAAAAAACGTATCATATATTCTTCTTTAACCATAAAGACATTCTTTGCTATGAATTATGGGGGTTTTATTGTAATTTAGAATCACTATAACTCTTGCTTAGATTCTGCTGTAATCAATAGGTCACAAACAGCTAGGAACTTGCGCTTAGGTCAGATAGAATGTAAGATTTTAATATTTCCACAAATAGCAATTATCATCTTTTAGATGCTCAGGTCAAAATATGTGTTGGCATTTCTTACTCCTCTCATATTTTACATTCAATTCAACAACAAATTTCTGTTGGCACTACTTTCAAAACAAATGCAAAATCTTACCACTTACTACTATCTCTACCACTACTCCTTTGGTTCAGGATACTATTTTCTCTTGCCTGGTCTATTTAAAATGTGAACTGTGCAAAACACTTAACAACTAGCCTGCCTGAGCAATGATTTCTTGGAATGCGCAATTATCATAAACAACAAGTATGGTCACACTGGTAAATGGTAGTGACATACAATGAAGGGAAGTAATTAAAGTTTAAGAGAAAGTGATAACGATTTGGGAGTGTATTCTCCGTAGAGAGGAGGGAAGAGAGTTTGATGAAGAAGAACCAGTTCTCTGAATATTTAAATTCTAGTAGACATTGCTTAAAAGTAAATTGTCGTTAATGCAGTTTTCCAATGAATTCTCTTGTATACTTTGAGCATAAGTCTGATGGAAAAAAAGGTCCCTACATGTATTTAACAAATTTATGAACAGCAACAAATAACTCCTGTTGCTAAGTAATTGACTTTAAGTAATAATATACTAATCTTTCTTATGCATTAAAAATAGTACTGATATAGTTGTCAAAACTCTGATAATACAAATAGAAATAAATTATAGAAATTTATATAAGATGTATCATTATTTCACTCTTTCTTCACTCTATTTACTTTTTGTAAAACTCTCCTGGGTGCCAAGGTCCTGCTATATAGTAAATGTGATGTATGAAGTTAGCGCATATACAATGTAGGTGAAAATATTTCCTGCTCTTTTAAAAAGTAGCAGTATCTTGCAGGAGACAGAAATGCTTTCATGTAATTTCAAGATTTTAGTAAATACCAAAATAGAACATAAAGAAGCTCAAAGTTCTGACAAGACAAAGTTAGTAACAGCCCAGAGAAATATGAGAGATGCCAACTAAGGGTCATATTTACTCTCAGTGTGGAAGGTACTCGGCATGCAGGAAAATTTGGTGTGAGGGGTATGATAACTGTGTCTGGTAAAGAAAATGTCAAAAGAATATCAATAAAATTCTCACAGCTTTAATAATATTTTAATGGAAATTTCAAAATACGTATCAATATTTAAAAGCTAAAATAAATACATGATTTAAATGTTCCTTTTTAATTCTTTTCCTGACTTTTTATTTTCTAGCCATTTACACTCAAAGAATAAAATAGGTAATAATATTTGCCTAATATTCACATGCTTAGAGTAGTATGTATATAATTGCTCATATTCACTTATACCTGAGACTAGTACTTATTAGGCAAAATTTCCTTTCTTCTTGAAAAATTTCATTGCTATATATTCACCAAAGTTTTTATAAAGAAAATAAACATTTCAGACTTATCCTCATGAGTAAATAATGTTTTTTTCACTTGAAAAATTAGGATTTGCTTCTATAGATCACACTGAGTTTGGCAATAAAGCTCATTGCCACAGCTGCACTCACTTCAGTGAATTACTTTTTAATTACCAACAATTCTTTTCATTTGGCTTGGATGACCAGACTAGCATCTGGGAATTAAGGGAGAAAAAATGGCTTCTCCAAACAACAACTTTTCTTAGCTGTACAAATCCTTTTTTGTTGTTATTCTTATTTTTAACTCAGATTTTAGTGTTATTACTTTTTCTTTCAATACTACTAATTTTAGGCAAAATACCAACAAAAAGCTAAAAACTAAGTTCTGGCAAAGCCTTGTAATTAAGTCATCAGGTCTGAGATTTCTCCCCAATAGAATTTTCCAACTTCAGTGCCAATTGGCACAACCTATTTTAGAAAAGTGTAAACCCAACTTTAGAGAAGAGTACTTTTCAGGTGAAATTATTTCTGTCATGGAGGTCTGGGTCACCTTTCAAGCTGTAACATTTCTACGTCTTTTAGTCTTTTAGAAATTTCTGGGAAATAACTTCCCCAGATAATCCGCTAGACTGGAAATAACTAAACTAGCCAGCCTGAATAAAGAAGAGCTTCAAAACAGTGTTTTCCATCTGAGAATCGGGAAAAAGAGAGACAATCTCCCAGAGAGGTTTTAACATCTTTGGATACTCTGCTTATAGAAAAGTCTCACACAGAGTCTGTTGGTTAGTTCCCAAATCACACTCTGCTATAAGAGCTTTGCACTTCTCTGCTGTTCATAAAGGAGGCATTATGTTCAAACATTATGTTCAGCATCTGCCTGGGCTTCTCTCCCCTCTCTTATGTATCTTCTGACTGCATTAAAAAAATCTTTCTAAAAGAAACCACCTCTTTCTCTTTAATATTTTCAAAATAACACATTTGACAAATCAAGTTCTAGCACAACATACAATATTTTCGTCAGTTCAATTTAGAAGGCAAAATAGCATTTACTATTTCACAACCAGGTAGAGCTATTTAACGTTCAGCATTATTTACTGAATGGTGTCCTTCAGCCTCAAAAAAATTCTTGACAATGGAAATTAAAAATTGTGTGTATTAGCAAAGATCTTAGTTCTTATAGATTCTGCATTCTAGAGGGAAGCATTGAAAGCCAATAAAAAGAGAAAGAACAGCTTTGGAGACATGTATAATCAGAGAAATAGAATTAGGTTAAGGTTTAGAGAGGACATTCCAGAAAAGTCACCAAGAAGGAAGTTCTGGTGTATTCAAAGAAACTGAAAGAAGGCAAATATGGTGGAAGTCAAGGGAAGGTAAAATGTTTCACTACCAGTGAAACAGCTAGTGGCAAGTCATAATGGGCCTTGTAGGCAAGGGATAAGGATTTGGTTTTTCTTTTAAGGGCACTGGAATTCAATAATTCTGTGCTCAAGAGTAAGACAATGTAATTTTTATTAAGAAACATCAATGTATCTTCAGAGCAAAGATTGAAGCAAGAAGGTCATATATATGCTAATATCAGTAGTCACCATAAGAAATGATGTTGGAATGGATTAGATTGAATTGAATCGAATTAGGATGGAAGCAATAAATTTGAAGAAAAGTAAATGGAAAATTGCGTGTTTTGTTTTGTTTGTTTTGCCTTTTGCTTGAAAGTAAAGCTATCAAAATTATCTAATGGTTTATATGTAGGAGGATCAGTTAGGAGACATCCATATTGAATTCTAGTTTTGCCTTTAATAGTTGTCTGGATGATAGTCCTATTTACTGAGATGAAAAATGCTTAGGCGGGAACACATTCAATTGAGGACAAGGTTCTGTTTTGAACACATTAATTCTAAGGTGGCTAATAGACTTGAAATTGAAAGTATTGACAAGTATTAGGAAATTCTGACTTGAATTCACAGGTGAGGTCAGACCAGAACATTTAAATGTGGCAGTAATTAATAAATGGATAACATTTAAGCTGTAAGACTGGATGAGTATACATATTTCAAACTATATTGTGCCATATAAACATATACAATTATGATATGTCAATTAAAATAATAAAGAAAACAAAAGACTGCATGAATTCATCTAGGATAAGTTACAGAAAATAAGGGTCAACGAGGCTCAAGCATAGCACATTCTACAATGCAGGATCCAGCAAAGAAGGTTTAGAACTAATAGTCAATGAGATAGATGTGAACTTCTAGAAACAAAGAGAAGGAATGTTTAAAGGAGAGAATAGTACAGAGAGTTAAATGCTGCTACATTTATATATATATATATATATATATATATATATATATATATATATATATATATATTTGTAAAGTGGCTATTAGATCAGGCAAACAAAGTTGACAAGAGTAGCTTTAATGGAATAAGGCTGGTATTCAGATATGGTAGAATGAACAGAGAGAAAGTTTCAAAGATAACACTTTACGGAATTTGGGGGGCTTTATTTTGTTTTTGTTTATTTGTTTGTTTTACAAGGAGAACACAGATATAGAGAAGGAAGGACCGAGAGAGAAATGTAGATATCAACACTTTTTACTGATGATTTCTGATAATATTTAATATTAAAACATAACCTCAATTTTTCATATAAGAAAATAACATTGATATAAAAATCACTTTAGGAATAAGTATCCATTCTCTTCCAGAATAGCTCTATTATAATGAAACTCAATATTATTTATTAACCATGGCCTCAATTCAGTACAGAAAGCTATGAACTAGACTTAAAATGTAGGAGCTATCATTCATAACCTTTAAAGACCTGCTTCTGTATATAGTACTGCATTTTATTAAATTCTCAAATTTAATGTTGTAACTTTGCTATTCATGAGGAACACCAAAGTTCCAAGTGTAGATCTTTCCTTCCCCTTCATTTCACAGGTTTTGATCCCAATCAGCATCTTGCACCCAAATTCCATCTTAGCTACTCTCTCTTTTCAGAAGGCCCAGCCTAAGAAAATAGTCTTGAAAATAATATTTATTCTGTAATGTCAACACTATAAGCTTTTTTGTCTATGTGTTACTTTTAAAAGAAAATTAAAGTATAAATTATTATTCTTAAATATATGTCATTTCCTGCAGAGTTAAGTAAGCTCTTTTTATTATATTTTCTTCTCAACAGCCCTAAGTATCATGCCTATTGAATGATGGTATTCCTGGCATAAATTCAAAAGAAATTTTCCTTACATTTATTTGTCTAAGTCACGATACATGTTGACTTGTTTTATATTGAAAGTAGGTCTTTGCTATACAGTTTGTGATTTTATCTGAATTTTCTTACTGATGTTGTTTTATATTGAGAGAATAAATAGGTTCTTTTCCTATTATTCAAATATTATTTACCTTTTCTCTATTCTAGATATTGCTTGAAACCATTCTTTTCTATTGACATCATTCATTTTATTTTTCAGTATGGAAGATTTGCTTCATGTTATATCCATGTATCTGCCCCCTGGAATTTCCAATTGCTGTGTATATACATGTGTAGATGTATGTGTACATATATGCATACATGTCTTATTTTCTCATACTCTCTCTTTATTATATCTCATATATTTTTTCCAAATTGACTCCCATACTACCCCAGTCTATGGCATCCTTACTACCTGATATGGTTTGGCTGTGTCCCCCACCCAAATCTCATCTTGAATTGAGACTCCACAATTCCCACATGTCATGGGAGGAACACAGTGGGAAGTGATTGAATTATGGGGGCCAGTCTTTCCTGTGCTGTTCTTATGATAGTGAAAGAGTCTCACAAGATCTGATGGTTTTAAAAAGAGGAGTTCTTTTTGCCTGCACAAGCTCTTTTTGCCTGCCGCCTTCCATGTAAGATGTGACTTGCTCCTCCTTGCTTTCTGCCATGATTGTGAGGCTTCCCCAGCCATGTAAAACTGAAGTCCAATTAAACTTCTTTCTTTTGTAAATTGTCCAGACTTGGGTGTGTCTTTATCAACAAGCATGAAAGCAGACTAATATGCTACTCTATTTCCCCTTTAAAAGCAAAGCAAAACAAACAAACAAAACCCACTTCTCACCTGGAATATTTAATTTTTTTGCTTTAATCTGTGCAGAATTCTTATCAGGTTCCTGCAAACCCTCATTGCTTCCTTCGTTGGAGACTTGTTTCCTTTACCCTTTACCTTACCTTGCTTCATTTGATCCCTCAGTTATCTATGTATACTCACTTTAATATATTTTAATATATTTTTAATAATAGGTATTCAAAGCAAAATTTCTAAATCCCTTCAGCTCTGAAAATGTATGTTTAATCAGTCTGTTCTCACTACTTGGTACATAATTTGGTAGGAGAAAGAATTTGAAGTGAAAAAGCATATCTCTTTCAGTATTTGAAAACCAATCACCACTGTCCTCTAGGATTTAGTAATATTAATGAGAAATCTAATACAGTAAGTCTTCACTTAATATGATTGATAGGTTCTTGGAAACTTTGACTTTAAATGTAATGTTATATAAGGACACCAGTTTTACCACAGGCTAATTGACATAAACAAGAGTTAACCTCATACGGCATATTTCTGGTCACAAAAACATCACCAAAACACTTTCTCAATAAAAAGTCAGAAGTACTTTTAATATTAAACATTCAAATAAATGTGAGCTCTACATTCATTTAAGAGAAATTAATAGAAACTAGTAAGATAATTATGTACCAAATTTTTTGGTGAATCAGTGAGTGATGGCAGTCATAGAAGTGTGGGGGTAAAACAAGGAATATGTTTGGAAAGTGATCATTGCTCAGAGCAGCTTCTACCACTGTACAGTTCAAAAACAAACAATCCCAACTATCCAAGCCCTTTCAGACCACATATATTTATGTATTTATTTAGACAAATATATGCTTGTTAATAAACAAATAACATTCTAGAGATGGATGCATGCAAAGATTTAAAACTTTGAGAGAATACAGCACACCAGGGAGACTAATTCTATGACTATTGGAAGGATAATACCAAGAGTTTGGAGTATGCTCCCTACCCAGATTTCCCATAAACCAAGTGACCTAAAATCAAGTAGATCAAAGAATAAGCTAGATAAAGAGTTTACCCACTTAAAGCAGTTTCTTTGTTGCTTCCCTACAACTGAATCTATATAATCTTCATTTGATGTATTTCTCCACAGGCCACAAGGGCGAGCAGCTGCACAGATATTTCTCTGTTTAGCCAATTCTATTACTTAGTATAACTTTCACAAGAAAATTTAAAGTCTGCTGTGTAACTAAAGCCTTTACATTAGAATCTGCTATAAAGCTTATCATGAGGAATACCTTTCTAATCATTGCTTATTTTACTCCAAACCATGGAAAAAGGACCTAACAAATGATGCCCTTCTAAAAAAGTGAAGGCCTCCTGGCAATATTCTCTTTAACCCATGATGCAGACCACATCATTTATTGTCAGGAATTTGTATGATTATTGCCTACAAATTTTTGTTTTATAATAATTGGAATTTATTCATTCACACATTTCTAATTTGCTTATTTCATTTTAGGGTTGCAGGTGGTTGGAGGCAATCCAGGTAGCTCAGAGCACTGGGTGGGAACCAGCCTGGACAGAAATAATGTAAATACACCAACTCGCCTAATAGGCACAACTTTGAGATGTGGGAGGAAACCAAACACCCAGAGAAAACCCACACAGACATAAGATAATGTGCCAACTCCACAGAGGCAGTGGCCCCAGCCAGAAATAATTTTCTTTTCTCATCAAAGTTATAACAAAACTACTTTATTTGACAACCTGCTGTATCATTAAATTATTGCAACTTTGTAGATTACCTATTTTCTCTATAAAACCCAAAACTTCTACAGATTTATTTGTTGTTCTGGTTACTCATAATGATTTTTATAGGTATCAGTATAGGTTATTATATTTACTCCGTTTGGCAATTCTAATATAAAGACTGCTTTTTTATGATCTTTTAAAAAATTTCTTTTGAAAAATGTTTCCATTTTTTGGTTTTTCATTTTTACTTTGAAAAATCTGTTCTTGTCAACATATTGAACCAATGGTGGAGTCTGCATCTTATATTCATTTTGGCACATAGTAAGGACTTGATATTTTGAATCGATACCTTCATCTTTTTGTCATTTTATGAGCAATTTCTTTGATGTAATTTAGCCCTTCTATTGATTTTTTAAAAATTTTTCTGATGAGCAAAGAAAATCTAGCAACTTCATTTTTTAAAATAATTGATTTAATCCTCAGAAACTCTTAGGAATAGATAAGGAGGGGAATCAACGGTGTAGGATGCAAAACAAATGCTCAGTTTTAGGACAGCTACCTTTAAATGTTCAGTTACTTTAATGGTTAATTCTATTATTGGCTGATTCTATTTCTTTCTCTTTCTCATTCTCTTTTTCTTTCTCTTTCTCTTAGCCCAGATGGTGTGTGAGCACAGGGTTGTGTAGGAAATAAGCTTGAATGATCTCATACCAGCCATGAGAAGAGTCTGTAGAGCAGCATGTGTGCTCTGGCCCCGCATTGTTTTCCACTGTGGTAGGGGTGGGGATAGATATTATTAGTCTGTTCCCCACAGATGGGATTTGGCTACAATATTTGTGGCTGATGACCTCCTGGTTTCTTATTCTAGTATGGCCAGAGCCTACCTAGATCCCACCAACTATCTTATTTTTACACCATGCTGTGTGTGCTCTCCTGTGGGATGACGGTGCTTCCTAAGATGTCTCTATATTGCTGCTGTAATGAAGTACCTCAAACTTACTGGCTTACTACAATAAAAAATTATGATTTTACAAATCTCGGGTTCTAAAGCAAAGTTCAAACTTAAAAGTGTTGGGTGGGCTAAGTCTCTTCTGGGGGCTCTACAGGAGAACTGGTTCCCTTCCCTTTTCCAGTTAAAAGTTCCTTGCATTCTTTGATTTGTGGCCAGCAGGAGTGTATTATCTCTCTCTCTCTCCGCCCTGTTTCTGTTGTCTTACTTTTTTTTCTGACTCTCACTTACCCTTTTCTAATCAAGACTCATGTGATTACATTGGCCTCCAACTAGATAATGCAGGATAATTTCCATGCCTCAGGAACCTTAACTTAATCACAGCCCCGAATTCCCTTTGCCGTGCCGTGTGGTACGTACTCACAGATTCCAGGCAATAGGTATCCTTGGAGAAAGTTGGGGAGGACATTTTCTATTTACCATTTTTTAAAATAGATGGTCTTTGAGCTACTGGTAACCTTGCCCCACCAATAATGACTACTTCATCAGTTTTACCAGGCAAAATTAGCAGTCACATGTCATATACTTCTATGGGGCACTGGAAACTGAAGCCATAAGCTTGGAAGGCTCACTTTCTGTCCTGTTATCATTTCGTATCATATTCATCTTGTTCCATTTACTCAATGATTGTATGTATCATCTCTTGGAGAAATCTACTCTGAGTATCTAAACTGGGATCATGAATCAGACACAATATTATTTCTTTTTAAATTACTTTATATTTTTAGAGACATGGTTTTGTTCTGCCACCTAGGCTGAAGTGCAGTGGTGTAACCACATCTCACTGCAAATTCGAGCTTCTGGGCTCAAGCGATCCTCCTACCTCAGCCTCCCAGGTAGCTAGGACCATAGGCCACCAAACCAGACTAATTTTTTAAATTTCTCTTTTGTAGAGACGGGATCTTGCTACGTTGCTCAGGCTGGTCTGGAAGTCCTGGCCTCAAGCCATCCTCCTGCCTTGGCCTTCCAAAGTGCTGGCATAGCAGGCATGAGCCACCACACCCAGCCCACAATTTGATTTTGATTGTTCCTTCACTACATCTAGAAGCCTGTTTCTTCCTAATCTAGGTGAAGGAATTAT
The DNA here is from genome assembly GCF_000001405.40 of Homo sapiens. Taxonomy (NCBI): domain Eukaryota; kingdom Metazoa; phylum Chordata; class Mammalia; order Primates; family Hominidae; genus Homo; species Homo sapiens. The sequence goes on along the minus strand of NC_000013.11, from coordinate 81,608,148 downwards.
ACAAGAAAAAATGCATGTTTCTAACAACTTGATTCTAGTTGCTTCCCACCCCAAAACCCAGGCTATTCCTTTCCTTATTTTTGTTTCATTTTCTCAAGATGGCCTTCTTTTATATAGTAACTTCTTTTGCCAGTGAGTTTGTGATCAGCTTTTTGGGTGCATATCACTTGGTATTTTATAACCTCTCCTTTAAAGGACCTCAAATATTAATCCTGAGTTAATTGCTATTAATGTTTGTATGTATTTGCCAAAATTTCAAGATCAATTCTTATTGTGTGTTACCCACACTGTGGAAATATCACAGCACTGGCAATTGCATGATTTGTGTTTAGAGTCTAGTTTCAAATGTGTTATCTGACATTGGGAAAATCAATACACTTTCAGGGCTTTGTTTTCCTTTGGTATCAAATGAGGTTATCTAACTAAATATTATTTGAGATGCAAAGTTTTGATTTTCTGATCCTGAGAAATCCACTATATGTTTATTTGTAGCTAGATGTATGGAACTACTCATATTAGGAAGACATTGTGAGTAACCTTGGGGTATGTCAATGAGAACCAGAGCTGGACACTAAAGTGATACTGATAGATTTTTTAGAAACTATTGCAATAGGAGAAAATAGACTTCAGTATTTAACTGAGTTCAATCTCAAGTATAGCAAGGGCAAATAGGAATTTATAGCCAAGGGGAGGGAGGCAATGGGTAGAAAATTACTAAGAGGAAATATTAAGGGGATTCTTGCTAAACTGACTGAAGCAGGATTCTTGCTACAACTGGGCTGTGCAGGCTTAAAGTCAAGGGCCAAGGACAAGACCTAGTCCAAGAAATGGCTCAGAGGAGCCCGTGGAAAGTTCAGTCACGGAATCTTACTAACAACCCCCACAAATGCTGTGCCTGGGAGAGAATGAAACAATGTGTTGGTAAAAAGTTATATTAGGAATCAAATATAAATATGTAGCACTACAATGTTTCTCAAATTGTCTTGGTTACAAACAGCAGAAAAGCTTAATAAATATGAGTGCCTTGGCCTGCTGTGAGAAATTAGCTTACGGCTGGGATTGAGAACTATTAATATTTGTGTAGATTATCACCAACATATTTTTAGCTTGTTTTAAATTACTTTACCCTCTTGCTTACAATGGCAACATATGTTTTTCTTTGTTGGGGGAGGGTAGAGAACATTAAAATAATATAAAAAACAGAATATATAATTATCATTACCTTAACCTTATATCCCAATCCAGAAAATATTGCCCTTAGGGAATTCTATTGATGAAGAGCATGTTTGAAAGAGAAATTGCCAAGAGCATATAAAACAGTAACAACATAGGCGTTATACCCATAAATAAAAGGAAGTTCCATATTTTTTGCTAATCTTGAGTTCTAAGTTGCTTAATAGGTTCATTGTGGAAACTTGAAATTAAAGTTTTAAAAAGCATGTGATGATTATTTTATGTGTCTCTATCAATTATAGTTTAAATTATGACATCTTTGTGCATGGAAATAGTGTCCCTACCTTCTATGGATCATTGAACAGGTTCCAGAAATGAACATAAAGATGTTTCTTATTCAATTGCTTGGAAAAAAACTATCTGCATTGTCACGGTATACATTTTTTTTTTTTTTTTGGGACGGAGTCTTGCTCTGCCGCCCAGGCTGGAGTGCAGTGGGGCGATCTCGCCTCACTGCAAGCTCCGCCTCCTGGGTTCACACCATTTTCCTGCCTTAGCCTCCAAGGAGCTGGGACTACAGGCGCCCTCCACCACACACAGCTAATTTTTTGTATTTTTAGTACAGACGGGGTTTCACCGTATTAGTCAAGATGGTCTCGATCTCCTAACCTCGTGATCCGCCCGCCTCGGCCTCCCAGTGCTGGAATTACAGGCATGAGCCACCCCACCCGGCCGTCACATGGTATACTTCTAATGTGCTTAGAGCTAACTTTGGAATGTGATAATTCTTCCTAAGACTTAACTATAATAGAAGTACATACATGTAGTACCTAATGTCATCACAAAAGCTTAAAAAGAAACAATTCATACCATTAATTTTGAGCTATAATTTTAGTGAGAACTAATGTATTAATTGATTCCTAAAATTGCATATTTTATACTTGACTATTAATGATGTATTATTTATATTTAGATATTCTGAATTACAAATTAAAAGCATGATTTGCTAGCATTTTTTACAATATTGTGTTGTGTGAGTGTAATAAGCTATGACATGCTTGTGTGATGTAGATCCAGTTTCATGTCAATTATATGAAAAGTAAAGCTGTTTACAAGCCAAATGATCTCCTTTGAGTTCAAGCTCTCAGACTGTGAATACCACGGGTGGTTTCTTGGCATGCAGATTTCTTCCACCTGTTCTTAGATGAAACATAAATGTGAACCATAGGAGATGTGATTTTCAGTGCTAAATAGAAACCATTTACTTTATAACTTTGCAATGGAAAACTACCAGTATGGCCAATTAGGTGTTGAATACTTTAAATATTTTTCTCTACCAATATGAGATTTTTGCCTAGAAAATGTCTTCGCCAAAACAAACAAGAAAACAAATCGGTTGTTTAATTTACACAATCAAGTTAGACAAATATGATAGAAAAAACTGAGGCAATAATATAGAAAATTCAGGTTAAATAAAATTCTATTGGGTATAGTGTTTAATCTTGTTGAGTTTTCTTAAAGTTTAATTGGAATGATTGGAATCGTTGGATATGCATTTCAGTTAATCTATAGAAGCAGGTTTAAGGAAATAGTGAAGTAGATCCATAGTAGCCTGAAGAAGTTCCTTTACCTTTCTCTTATATATTATTTATAAGTAAAGATAATAATAAGAAGTGGTAGGATGAATTCTATGCCATCTTAAATTGCTAATGTAAAAATCAGAACATTCAGTGCTGAGTGCTTTGAACTGTTCTCATTCCTTTCCTAAGTGTATGAGAGAATTGCCTTGTTGGTAAAATCGCTTGGACCAAGTGTACCTGACTCAATTGGACTCAGAACTGGTAAGCAGATTAATATCAAAAGTAATACTTTTCACTGGGAAAAGAAACTAAAAATAAAACTTGGAGTTTTTGGTATCTTTCTTAGCCTGGGCATAAATCATACCTCAAACAAAGGAAAAGCAGAAATTGATTTAACAGAAAAAAAATATATATATATATATATTTGGGAAAGAGTCCTTGGGAGCACACAGGTCATGGTTTCTCAGATGCATTGGCCCCCTTTCTCAAGAGCTTGGTTGTTAAAATGTTCTTTGGAGTGTGGGATTTGTATATGTCCATAATTTTTTTTTTTTTTGACAGTCTCGCCTCTGTCACCCAGGCTGTAGTGCAATGGCGCGATCTTGGCTCACTGCAACCTCTGTCTCCCAGGTTCAAGTGATTCTCCTGCCTCAGCCTCCTGAGTAGCTGGATTAAAGGTGTGTGCCACCATGCCTGGCTAATTTTTGTATTTTTAGTAGAGACTGGGTTTCATCATGTTGGTCAGGCTGGTCTCAAACTCCTGACCTCATGATCCGCCTGCCTCGGCTTCCCAAAGTGCTGAGATTACAGGTGTGCGCCACTGTGCCTGACCAATGTCCATGATTTCTTAAGCTACCTTAAGGATTTCTATCAATTGAAATCAAGAGTACTAATATAATTAGCTTAAGATTAAACAAGACTCAGTTCCCTTTAATAAGAAATTAGATTTCAAATGCACATCTTATCAAAACTAAGGTCGTACTTGAATAATAAATAAACCTCATTATATATACATTTGAAAATATTAATATTCTTAATAAATAAAGATACATCTTTCGGAACCAAATTGGCAAAGTGAAAGAATAGGCAACACCAGACCATTATGAGGCTACAGAACTACTAAAAGGAAAAAAAATAGCGTAATTATATGAAGACATTATACTTTTTTCAGTTTGGATGTGATAAAGATAATATGCTCAAATATTTGGTAAAAAAAAAAACAAAAACAAAAACAAAACAAAAAAAAAAACTGTGATTAACAGCATTACCACTCGGAATGGGTGGAAACATGAGTGAATCATTTTTAAGATAAGCATTTTAGTCATTAATTGCAAGAGTTTGGAAACATTTATTCTGAAAGCCCTTTTAAATAAAATGAACTGTTCAACCATGGAATATATATTTTTCTGAGGATGGAGTGAAAGAAGTAAGTAGACTCAGCTATTACTACGAGTAATGAAGACAGTATGGCATGGGTACTCTCGCAAAATTGTAATCAACTTCCTTGTGCATTTTTAGGACACTTCATCATGTTTTAGTTGACATAATAATCAATTGTCATACTGAAAAGACTACACAACTATCTAACTAAATTCTGGAATAAACTTGTACACACAATAATAGGTTTTGTGGGTTTTCCTACACATCCAATGAACTTCTTTATTTTTTCTAGTAATGGAACCCCAAATTTACTTTAAGTTACCATTGCTCCCTAATTGTTTCCATGTTTTTTGTTTTTTGTTTTTCAAGCAAAGTCAATTTCACCTGTAACTCCAGAGACAGGGACATGGCCCGGTGTTGATTACTCAAATTAGCTGAACATGAAAGAGGTCATGTAACCCAATCAGAGCCTTTGAGACAATGTCTCTGGACTTTCCTTGGTCTATACATAGAGGGTGGCTCCACTTTTTACATAAGCTTGCAGTCTGGAGGCCATGAGTGGGAACTACTCTGATGTGACTGCATGTGGACACTGCATGGTAATGCCCTGTCTGAATGAAATGACAGCAATAAAACCCAACAGCGGGGCCTAGGGTCACATTGTAGCACCTAGATTCAGCTTCACTAAACTCTGGCTTTTGAGCAGCGTAACTTCCAAATTCCATTTTACTTAAATAAATTTATATTGGCTTTTCCTTGACTTGAAACTCAAAAAAGAATTAATTGGGAACTTGAGATTCTGAAAATAATGTGGAATCTAGGAGATAAATACGTAGAATTATGAGCTATAATTACCATTTGGAGTATCGACATCTCTCACAACTATTTCTCTCTCTCTCCCTTTTTTCTTTTGTCAATTCCTGCTCCCAAAGGTAAGACCCTCAAAATCATATGTGTGTAGAATTTCCAGCTTCCTCAGTGGAACTGGTTATATGACCCAAGCTGTTCCAAACATATTCAGATTAAGGAAAAACCATATAATATTGGGAGTTTTTGGATTATCTTCTGTTTGCAATATTGTTTAAGAAACATAAGCAGGAAGTGAAGGAAATATGTGGAACTGTGCGGTTATAATAAGCTTACATCCGCCTTTTTACATACATGTTCACTAAAGCAATTTGGTACTAAATACTTATCCTATCCTACCAAATATTTTATCAACTTAAATGCAATTTCCACAAGTCTTATTAATATGTTGGAAGTATCAGAAACCATAGGATGTGGAGAGTCTGTTTTTATTCCATACATGATGACACATAACCTCCAAGTTCATTTTCTCTATTTTCCTGCCTTTATTTCCTTCCTTTGCTTTACTTTTCTTAGACTCCTATCCCATGCTGGGTTTGATCTATGATCTTCTAGCAGCATCAGAGGGAGTTGGAATAAAAATAAAAATTTTATAGTGTAGTAATTAGAGTAACAGGTAGAAAGATCAGTAAATACATGGCTCAGTGCTAAATTCTTGCAGATGTTTCTGATTGAATTCTTGCCAGGAATTTGAAAGCAATGTATGACTGTTTCTGGGAGCTGCAGACAGTCAACTCTCCCTTTCTGCACTTTTAAGTACAAGGTACTTACAAGCAACATAATGAAATAACTTACATCTCTCTAGTTTGTTGAGCCAGAGACAACATCTGAATCTTGATTTTTTTCAAATCTCCTTTATGAAACTTTTTCAAAAGCATCATTGTGTTATTGTTGTAAACAAAAGTATCTTTTAAATCATAATTATCTGAGTTTCAGACATCTGTTGATAATTAGTACTCTTATTCACACAAAATTATTTTTAGTCCAGAATTGTCACAGTTGTTTTTGATTGTGAGATTATCTAAGGACTTTGGCAAAATTATGGCTATCTTTGGACCTGTCCCAACTCTAATATCTCCCAGAGATATTAGAATCTGGAGGGTCTTGTAGCCATAATTTGAATAAGGCCTCCACGCAATTCTTATACTCAGAAAACATTGTTAAACACTGATTTAGTCTTGACATAAATTTAAACCATATGTCTCCGCTTCTGCTATACCTTCTACATCTAGTTAGTAATCAAAAGTTCCTGTGTCTTTTGTTCCTCAATCTACTCCAAAGCCAACATCTTCCCCCATGTCCTTCACATAAATCCTTCTTCCTAAAATTGTACTCTTCCCCCATGACTTAGTTTGTGCTGATGTATCAAATTAGCATAGACTGGGCAGCCTAACCAACAAACTTTTATTTTTCTCAGTTCTAGAAGCTGGGAAGTCCAAGGTCAAAGGGTGGGCAGATCCACTGTCTGTTGAGTGTCCTCTTACCGCTGTGTCTCTTCACATAGTAGAGAGAGAAGAAGCAAGCTCTGTCCTGTTTTTTTATATAAGGGTATTAATCCCTTCACAAGGGCTTACCTCTTAAGGAGTAGTTACCTTCCAAAAGCCGTATCTCCAAATACCATAACATTGAGTATTAGAGTTTCAACATAGAAATTTTGGGGAACACACATTTTTGTTTTCTTGATATATGATATGTAGTTAACTTTGTGAAATTATGTTCTATTCATGTGTGCTGCATAATATGAGATTATATCAGTTTTTGACTTTTACATATTGACTTTTACTTTAGTTTTGCAGCAACTCACATTCTTTATTCTCCAAAGCAGTTTGGCTTCTGGTTTGTGAATGAGAGAAACTAACAGTAGCTAACTTAAGCAGAAAAGAAATTTATTGGAAGGATATCTAGCTGCTTAAAGAATCATCAGAAAGACCAGAGGGACAAAGTAGAGAAAATTAGCAGGAAAAAGGAAAGCTAGGCCATGTAAATTTGCCAAATATCGTATCACAGAAACAGACCTTTTTTTTTTTTTTTCTTTTGTCTGGGATTCTCCCCATGGACACACTTTACTGGCTACCAATATCACTTCTACTCTAATTTCCACACCACTGCCATTGGACATATTTTCTCAACTGGCCATTTACTTTTCAGCTATTTCTTTAATGTCCAAGTAGCAAATGGGAGCATTTATATGGGTGATTATTGGTCATGTGCTCATTTTCAACACTAGAGGAGATAAAAAGAGATGATATTTGAACTCTTCTTCTCTCATAGTACAGGTAGAAGAATTCAGAATCACATAATGGGAAATTAAAATAGGTAGTGTCTTCACATGCTGATTTATAAAAATACAACTGTTGATTCTAATAATACACATGAGTAATTCTTCCCATACACAAATTTTCAAACTAAAAAATTGCCCCAACAAACGTAAAACAACTATTCTCTGTTCAATGTAAAATTCATATACATGCGACAAAGTGACCTAAAGGGAGGCAACCCACAACATTATTACAAACAATGCTGAGGCCCACGTATCTTGATGTTGTCCATTTTTTCTCTAGTTCTGACCTGTTGTTATCTAAATATTGTCTCATGTACATAATTAAATTGCAAAGCTAACCACAATCGATACACTCAATATATGGTTTGGGGAAAAGAAGTAGTAAAGACTATATATATATAGACGTGTATATATATATATATATATATATATATATATATATATACACACACACACACATATATATACACTATATATATGTATATATTATATAAATGTATATATGTGTATATACACATATACACATATATATGTATATACACATATACACATATATATGTATATACACATATACATATATATCTATATACACTATATATATGACTATATATGCACACACATATATATATACACACACACATATATATATATACACACACACACGCACACACGGAAATATAAAGGAACACAAATGATTTTAGAAAATAAATTTTCTCATTTTACAACTGAATTTTAGGGGGAATTCATGACCTTTCTTCTCCGTTAACGATACCATCTTCCCTATGACTTCAACAAAAGGCTCAAGTGGTCAGATCCTAAGTCTTCTTTTGTAACATAAACTCTCCTTTCTGAAAGACCTGTGTCCACAGTGGCTCTGCTTTTATACTGTTGCAATAGTCTTCCACTAACATCTACCGTTAGATACAAAAGAATAATAGAGTCTTCCCAGAGGGAATTTGGGCTCCATTTGAACTCTCCTTGCTTCTAAACTTTGGAAATCACCCTAACCAAAATAAAAATTTCCATTTTTCCCAAATGGTGGCAGAAACTACAGAAGATAAGCTGCTGTTTCAGCTTTCAATTCAATGGAATCATGGAATAGGGGAAGTCTATCTGAGGTAGAAAAATCTCTAAATTGCACAAGATGATAGTCATGGAAATAGTAAGCAATTTTTTTTTGAATGGATATTTAAGGGTAGCCATGGGAAGTACCACCCCCTACTTCTGCTTGTGGACTTCCAGACCCATGCAGAATATATTTTGTACCTTACATTGTGTTTTTTACAACTGATGCCTGACTGGGGAAACCAGTGATCCCCATTGACTTTGGCCCACTTCCTTTCTTATTTTCCTGTATAATGAATTTCTTTGTCAGAAGCAATGCTCTATAAAAGATTAAAGTGGTTTGTCATCACTTACTAAGTACATAGATAATAGTACTAGCAGAGGCATAAAAAGGCAGAGAAAGAATTTTTAAAACCCAAACGAGTAACTGAGTTATCACAAATTACTACTCTCTCCAAGGTAAAATGAATAAATAAAATTGAACTTTTTCAAGGTTATTCTAAGGATATAATACAATATTAGGGGCTTAAGGCTTCTTACTTCTGCTAAGTTGAGCACTTGGTGGCAGCAGTCATTAAAATAGCTTTAGTTATGGGAAGACTATGCCATTGATTTTCATGCATAGCCTCCTATTTACAAAATAATCTCCTTATGAGGTCTTTGTGAAAATACTACAGTGGCAGATGAAGGAGACATACTTACTTCCTTAGCTTAACTAATCTTGCCATGTTGATTATTAAAGTTTCTTCTGTCATAATGGCTTTTTTGTTGAGCATTCATATGTGACACAAATACGTTTATAGAAGGGACCATTATACAATATCTCTCTAAAATAATCTTCCTCATTGTTTAATAATTTTTTTCACTTCCTTGACCATCCAACAAAATTGATTACTTGTACTATGAATTGTAAGATACCCCTATCTCATACCATTTTTTTCCAAGCAAAATGGGCCATAATATGTACTACTCTAAAAAATATCTCTGGCAAAACATTGCTTGTTCTCATGGCCTTCAGAACCACCCCTGAGAAGACTATACTGCTATCACAGTTCATTTTTCATTATTTTATTGGTATATAAGGTAAACTCATCTATAAAATGTTATATTGTTTCAAATTATCAAGGAAATCTCCTTATAGAAAAATTGTTAATTGAGAAAGGGGAGGTTACAAAGTTGGATAATTACAGTGGGAGGTTAATGACTCAATCTATGATGTGCACCCAAAGCTATGTCAATTCAACAAAATTCATAAAGAACATTTAGCATCATATGAAAATTGGTAACCATTCGTATTAGTCCATTTGTGTTGCTATAAAAGAATACCTGAGGTTGAGCAATTTATAAAGAAAAGATGTTTATTTGGCTCATGGTTCTGCAGGCTGTACAAAAATCATAGCACAAACATCTGCATCTGGTAAGGGCCTCAAACGGTTGCCACTCACGGTGGAAGGGGAAGGGATGCCAGCATGTACAGAGATCACAAGGCAATAGAGGAGACAGGGACAGGGGAGTGCCAGGCTGTTTTTATCTACCAGCTTTTGTGAGGACAGAGTGAGAACTCACTCATTATCTTGAGGACAGCACCAAACCATTTATGAGGGATCTGCCCTATAATCCAAATACCTCCCATTAGGCCCTATATCCAATACCGGGGCTCAAATTTCAACATGAGCTTCAAATGGGTCAATGAAACCAAACTATAGTGCCATTCATGGTTTCAGCTGTTGGACTCTTCCATGGCCTATCACCAATCTAAAAGCTATGTCTGAAAATGATAATGGTTATATAAGAAAGGTGACAGTCTTGCTTCAAAACTAGAAAGTTTCTACTATGCTTTCAAATTGTGGGTTATTGTAGCCTCCGTAGAACATTCTGAAATATCACAAATGCTTGAGTGATACTAGATTTTCTGTTTCAAAGAGTCAAGTGGCAGAAGAACTTATTTGTCATGAAGGGTTAACTGCAGAAAATTCTCTTGCCGTGCCATGAGTCTCATTTAATTTTGGCTGCCTTTCAGATCACAAAGTAAACAGACTGAGCCAAATCTCTTGTTTTTGTTTTTTCTGTTTTTGGTGGTGGTAAGCAAAAGGTAGAGCAATTTATTTTTTCCATGATGTGCAGGAATCATATATGCTTCCCTAAAATGAAAGTTTTACTTTTTCTTTGGGATATGTGTCTTTGTCTCTGCCAAATGTATTACCATATTATTTAGATTTTTTATTAATTTGAAGTCAAGTCAGCATGATGCATACAATGGGTCCATCGGAATGGGAAGACATTAAAGATCCCTAAAAATAAGAAGTGATAACAAGTTTGAGAAATAACCTAGCCCAGGAAAAATGTTGAATGTATAGTCTACTAGGTAAAGGAAAACTGATTGTGATGTTCTGTGTTTATTAGGATAAAGGCAAAAACATTGCCACATCGATAGTGTTCACAGGAAATGAACTGATTTGCTCTGAAACAAAACAAAAGTTAAACAAAAGCTACAACAAAAGCTACAATCATTGGTTAATGTACTACCATTCTGCAAGACTTCTCAGCTTTCATTTCAGACCAAACAAGGACATGCAATTGCTTTTAATGGACTATTTTGATACTGAGAAGGAACTGCTATTATTTTAGGGTCCTCTCTTAAATATATATACCACACTTATATTTATATATTATTTACATATTTATATATATATATATATATATACACACATATACATATGCATACACACACATAATGTTTCATAATTAATATAAAGCAGTATTTCCTGCTTGGAAACACATACTATGTGCACTAGGACTCAAACATGATGAGATGTAACTTTAGGACAGATGGAATATAATCAAAATAAACTTATATTATTGACAGACTGAGGGTCTATTAAGAATATTTCATCTTTAAGAAAAATTAAAGTGAGATAAATAAGTTGGTTTTTAAAAAGTCAGTGGATATATGCTTTCAGTAATAATTAACTAGATGATTTGGAATAAGATTTTATAGAGAACCAAGTGAAAATGCATCAGAGAAGAACAATGTAGTGAGAAACTGTGAAATCAGAGTCTGGGCAAAGAGAGAAGACTAAATAGATAAAATGGACATTTGGGATATTTTCTCTTGTAGAAGACTTTAATGATGTTGGACACAACAGCTGAGAGTTTGAGAAGCTGAACAAAGCTTTCTGCAGACTCACGGACCTAGAGGGACAAACTTGGATTTCAAAACCACCTGAAAAATCCACAGGACTTGGAAAAGGGCCCACAAACAGCTATAATGAAGCAATAAAAGTTAACTGGAAAGAAACAAGATTTTCACCAAAACTGAAGGCAGCTTCAGATTGTCTCAATTTCGTAACTTTGCCAGAAGCAAGATAAAGTTACAATCATTGGTTAATGTACTACCAGAAGAAGATAAATACTCTCTAAATGAAGATTACATAATACAGAGCCTCAAATTGTTTTCATAAAGTGTAGTATAATATGGCAAATGCTCAATCAAAAGGAGCATGAAGAATAAAATGTGAATGAAAGCAAACAGTAGCAACTGGAAAGAGACACTGACCTATAGAAGACACAGATAATAGAGTTGTCAGTCACAGACTAAGCAATGTATGTTTAAGAAGAATTTATTGACAATAAATGGCAGTATTGTCAGAAGACCAGAAAGTATAATAAGAAAATAAGTGTAATATGTAACACTAAAAATTATAATAAATGAAATCAAAAACTCAGTAAATACATTAAGATAAAATCAGATGCCAGTGAAAAAGAATTATTAAACTAGAAGGTAAGCCAGAAAAAGAAATATTTGAAATGAAACACAGAGATACATGTCAAAAATTGTGAAAAATCTGAGATTACACTGTGCTTACAAGTTAACAAATTAGTCTTCCAGAATGTCATCGATGCTATCAGAAAGCACAACATTCCTGAATCAGACAAATAGCTCCTATAGAGAGCATGACAGCAGCATGAACATGATGTTCATATCTAATTTGTCTCCCTCTATATACCCCACAAATTCCATGGGGATGAGGCTCACATTGGGCCCAGGCAGATGCTGCACATACAACTTGTTTGTTCCACAAAACTGAAGAACCCCAAGATTAGAAAATCTCCAGTCTCATAAGGAAGCTGCAAGCAAACCTACCTAACTTTTTCTCAGGAAGGATATGTTATCTTTATTTTTCTGAACAGAAAACAAATCATTCTTTTGTCCCAGTGTGAGATACTATCTTTCTCTTTCAAGTTTATTTACTATGTAAATCTCTTTGAATATATAGTCTGAAACAAAATCTACTCCAAGATATGTAGAAATACTATGGAGAATTGCTCACTAACAATACATAACTCTGTTTGCATCATCATGTTTTCTGAAAGATTTTTCAATGAATATGCTGATCCATTATCCACTTTGATTAATCTGGGGAAAAGGACTTCATTCAATGAAGATACCATCAATAGAATTCTAAGCATCAGGCCAACTATCAATGCCACCCAATAGTATTTATAGTAATAGTATTATTTATAATAATCCCCAAACTGGAAATTGCTCAAATGACCATCAACAATAGAAAAGATAATAAACTAGCCAGGCCCGGAGGTTCACACCTGTAATCCTAGTACTTTGGGAGGCCAAGGCCAGTGGATCACTAGGTCAGGAGTTTGAGACCAGCCTGGCCAACATAGTGGAACCCTGTCTCTACTAAAAATACAAAAAAAAATAGTTAGGCATGGTGTCAGGCACCTGTAATCCAAGCTACTTGGGAGACTGAGGCAGGAGAATCCTTGAACCTGGGAGGCGGAAGTTGCAGTGACCCGAGATCGTGCCACTGCACTCCAACCCAGGTGACAGTGCGAGATTCCATCTTAAAAAAAAAAAAGAAAAAGAAAATATAATAAACTATGGTGTATTAACCACATAATACTTCTGTACTTGTAAAAATTGCAACTTTATGAGCCAATGGTGAGGAACCCCAGAAAATAGTTTTGAGAGAGAAGAAAAAAGGCAGACACAAAAGGATGCATCCTATGTGGTTCAGTTTACACAAAATCCCAAAACAGAATTGATATGTGAGTTAGAAGTTAGCATAGTTTGGTTAGTCAGTGGGAGGAAGAACCAGGTGGGACAGAAGCCCAGTATACTTCTTCTCAATCTGTATACTGGTAATAGAGAGTTGCTAGTATGCAAATACTTCATTGGGTTTTACATCTAGAATTCATGCACTTCCTTGAAGGTTCAAAACTCTGATCATGGTATAATAATAAAAAAGTGAAGAGACTCTGTCTCTCCAAAGAAAGAAAGAAAGAAAGAAAGAAATCCTAAATAAAACTTAGAAAGTTATAAACATTAAGAAAAAGAAAAAGACTGACATTTGGTTTCATACATTAGAATGATAACTTATTTTCATTAAAAGACAGAAACAAATGCATGAAGAAGCAAGGCAAAGAGCTGTTTGCGACACATGTAACTGAAGAGGGGCTTATATCAAGAACTTAGCACAAATTCCTGCAAATCAATAATAAAATGACAGACAAACTTGTTTAAAAATTAAACAGGTTCTTCAGAAAAATCGGATATAGAAATGTCCAAAGTGGTTATTTTTCAAGGAAATGCAAATGAAAGGGGCCCTATCACCAACATTGGCAGGACTATTACCAGCAGACTCTGTATAAAGTAGACCAATAGCTTGGCTTTACAAAGAAACATTATCCTCAGGGAAGGAATCAGCAGAAAAATATGTTCTTGCAGTGGGATTTGTCTGAAAAAGTTCTAAAGTTTTCATTGACATAACACAGTAATTTACCCAAGCAAGCCTGAGTAATTGAAAAAAAAAAAAAAAAACTTTCTATGGAGCAACAAGAGAATTATAGCAGACTTGGGAATGATCCAGAGAAGGTCCAGAACACTCCAAGCCCAATAAGGCAGGACTTTTATTGGAACACAATTTTCCAAAGAGGTGGAGGAGATGGCACTATGGATGCAACCTGTGAAAATCCTATAAGACTGTTACAGTGACCTTCTTTTCTGATCACACTGGAATGGTAGCAAAATATTTTTATATGCAAATAGATATCAATCAAGTCATATTGACTATAATTCTGAGAAAATTCATGAGTTCTAATTCATTATGAAAATTCTTACTATTTTTTGCTCCTAAGCTTTGCTTTCATTTAGCCAGCCGACTCCAATTTGAAAGGAGCCCTTGGGAAAATCCACACTCCTCAGGATAAACCAGACTCACATTATGAGACATATTTCTTGCTTACTATGATGCTTTTCTGCAAAGGCCTTTGGCTGTTTAATGAACTAAGTCATGAAGACTGAATCACCCGAAGTTTCTTAATCACCTTTTTGGACTTTCCTTCAGAAAAGCTAGTTAATTAATTTTGGAAAAGCAGCTGTTTATTTAAAATCAAATAAATTAACACTGTAAATCTTTTAGGAAAAGCTTTTTCTTTCTTTCATTTTCTTTCTTATAAATGAAGCAAGAATTATTTTCTAGGAGAAGTTTATTTCATGGCAATTTAAATATGCGACCTTAGTCTGCACTGAATGTAAAGAATACCATTTCAAGTATATGATTTAATGAGGAGGAATATTTTAAAAATTCAAAGGACAAGAATGGCTTAAGAGTTGAAATAGGTACTTTGGAAAACTGGGAGCTGATATGATTCTAAAATCAGACATTCCGAATCAACTCATACAATTGGAAAGGGATCATAAAAAATTCACACTTAAAAATCACGGATTTGCAGGATTTTAACAAAATCATTTTGGAAACTGAAGGTGGGACCAATTTTATACAGGACTGGAAGCCCCAAAATCTGAGTCTGTTACAGACTGTTTTAGGGATGGTTAGTGGCTTCCACTTTATATTTTTCCATAAGCCTAAACTGATGTGAAAATAACTCAGCCCAGGTTTACTCTGCGATTTATAACCTCTTCCCAGTGGAACACCACTCTTGTCCTGAATCTGAATTTCTTCTCCTCAACTGTTGGACCTAATCTACTACTCTCTTAGTCTCCTTAAATAGATGACAGTTTCTCTATCATGGGATTTCCGATTTCTAGTCCATCACATACCTCAAGAGAGGTTTTTAGTCAGTTCCTAAGTCTCAGGACTTCCTCCAAAGGCAATAAGTCTGGTGTGAATATTAAGCTAGAAAAGAAAAGCATGGTGTGAATGTTAAGATAGAAAAGAAAACAAGTATCTGAATTTAAAATAGTTTCAAATCCAGTACAGGGTGCCTTGCAAATATAAATAGATAAAATGTTTTTTCATGTGTATTTAAATACAAATCTCATTATACTATTGAAACTTATTTCTGGAAAACCAGTTTTAGAATATTTATACATTTTAATCAATATAAATGAAATAAATGCAAAAATGAAGTTTCTGCCCACCTGAGCAAATTAATGTTGAGGTAATTGAATAAATAATGAATTAATATTGAAATGAGTTTTCTGCCAATTTAAGTAAAACCACAAGTCATTATAAATAATTCCAGCCATCCTGCACTAATCTCATAAACATGTCCAATTGACTAATTTAATTATATCATTTATGCTCCCATCATTTCTAAAATGTTTAATTTTAATAGAAAATAAGTTAAGTGGCTCATTGAAACATATATCTACCAGGTTAGAATAGGGTGGCATATTTTTCTTCAGTTGAAAGATGTAGAAATAAGTGAAGACCACTGAAATGAGAACAAGCAAAGGCAATTTATGCAGAACTTGCCATGGGTGACAAAGAGCCATGCACCATCACTTGCATTTGGCAGTAGTTCAAACACAGGCAGGTAGGTGTAAAAGCTTTACAGAGAAAAAAGAGGAAAGTTTTAGTATGACCTGATAGGAGGTTGTTAGCAAGGGGAAGCTGTAGATGGACTAACTAGAAGTGGGGCATCCTATCTGATTGGTTGGGGGCACACACTTGGCTTTCTCTGGTTGATCCAAAGTTGGAAGTGGGAGTAAAAAGGCGAGAAAAAATAACAAAGCTGGCAGGTATCAATTTAGTCGTGACCATTTCAAGTGCTGCAGTGCTACAGAGTTTGAGGTTTGGCTTTCCGGTCTGCAGACTGTTGGACAAAATTCTGTGGGTCAGAGTTTTATTTTTATATGTGGTCTGGCTGCTCTCCTTGTCCATTTGCACATTCAATCTCTAAGAGACAAGTGCAACTACAATAAAACTCAACTTTTCTTCTATTAGGTATTTTAATACTACAAATGTATGTGTTGCTTTTTGAGATATTTAATCCCCAGTATATAGATAACACTTATTAATGTAGAGAAAGTTATTGAACTTACACACATAGTTGAAACTTTCATACACAATTGTATTCATTTTCAAGTCCTTAAATATAAGGAGCAATATATATCTTTTGTTTCAAATAGAATGAAATCCTTTTTGACAGTGGTACACAGTCTTGGCAGATCTTTAAGTAGAAACTTGATTTCCAGAGAAATTAATATCTGTGAGACTGCACTGTTCTCTCATTGCTTATAACACATATTGTTAGTAAGCCTTCAGGAATCACCTTCAGTTGCCTCTCTGCCCAGTACTTATTTTGGTGGCATTTTCCAAATTTAAAGTTACTCAGGCACAACTACTCAGAAAATACAGAGAAAACTACAAAATTCATTTGATCTCAAAACAAATCTTCTGGGAAGTGGACTATGAAAGTTGTGCAGCTTCAGTTCAGACTTAGACACAGAGAATAATAGACAAGATCCTGCTAGAGGGTGGTGGATCCACAGAGCACAGAGAATAATAGTCAATGAAGGAGTTTTGTGAAAGAGCTTAATAAGAGTCAATCTCTGGTCTATGGTGGAGTGTTGGGGATAGACTTTAGCCATAGACTTTTGTAAAGGCCCTTTCCTGAGAAAGTTCCTCTCTATTCCTATTTTGCTTTGTGTTTTAGTCATTGACTTGTTCTGTGCTCTTCCAGCATCTATTAAAATGACCATATATTTTTCATCTTTACAAAATGAGTTGGAAAGTGTTTCTTCCTCTTTGGTGTCAAAATTTTTTTAGAATTGGTGTTCTTGAGTTCTGTTTAAAGTAAAGCTTTTGAAAATGAATTCAATCTTTTAATCGATACAGGACTAATTTTTTATTTGGCATATTGGATTAGTTCAGATAAGTTGTATTTTTCATGAGATTGGTTTAATAAAAGTTTTTGAGTTTATTGCCATAATGCTTATACATATACATAGTTATACATATATATATACACATACATATGTTTATATAGGTAATTACCTTAACATATATAGAATTTGTAAGTATAGACTTTTTTTTGCCTTTTTTTTTTAAATCACTCAGCTCAGGGCTTCTCAACTTTGTTGATCAGTGCAAAGACCTAACATTTGGCTGTTAGTTGTCCCAATGGTTGGCCTCTTTTCTATATTATTGATTTCTCTTCCTGCCTTTCCTTTTTTATCTCTCTTACAGTTGATTAAATTTGTTCTTTTTTCCCTTAGCTATTAGAGCAGATTTTAGATCATTTATTTCATACATTTTTGTTTCTTCCCTAATACCAAAGTATTAAAACCTATAAAATTTCCTGAGTCTTGTTTTTGCTACTTCTAATATAATCACATAAGAAAAATAATAATTTACTGATGTGCAAATAAGGGAAGATATTCCGCCCCCCAACTTTAGGAAGTTCTTTTGTCTCTTTGAAATGTATGTGAAATTTTCTAAAAGTTAAATAAGCCTCTTGCCAGCTTTAGGACCCCAAAATGTCTTTTTTAAGTACCTACAAACCATCTCCTTGAAATACCATGATTAAAGAAGACAGTGCTGTCTTCAAGTTTCTGTGAGAGAATAGGCACATGACTTCAGCGGGCACCTTGTTCCAAGTTGTAGAACCATTTTCTGTTATAAAGATCTAATTTTATTTTTTCTTTAAAGTCAATTAACAGATGACTACTCTAATTACTGAGTAAATTTAGGATAAATATGTGTGACAAATCATGTTACACATGCTCTTACTTGAGGACTGCATATTTTTTATCTTGAGAACACATATGTAATGGGCTGTATTTGATTGGCTACATAAAAGGGTGAAATTTCTTTATGATTTTGCAATCTTTTTGGTGGATTGTCTGTGATATGCATCATTAGTACTTATTCAATAGTTAAACTATTTTTTTTCTTTTCTACCTTTGTGGAGAATTTTTCTATATTGGAAGATTTTATTTTTAATTTTATTTCCCCAACAATGGTATGTTTGTTAACATTCATTTTGAATTTTTTAAGTTCCTTTAAAATATCATTTTAAAGTTTCATTCTTTAATGCATGCATTATTTAGAGGTGTGTTTCTTACTTTTCAAATATTTGAGCTCAGTTATTTTATTCTGCTTCTTTATATATTAATGATTAAAATTCTGTCATAATTTGAAATATTAAAATTGTAAACATATTGGATAAAATAGGATATAAAGGTCAATAATTCTTGACTTAGAAATACAGTTTTGCCAATTAACTTGTGTGACTTTTGAAATGTTAGTGTCTCTAAGCCTTAATTTCTTACCTATAATATAAAATAATACAAAGTTGATCCGTTTGAATGAAAATATAAATATGTGTATATTTGTATGTGTAATGTAGGTTAAAGCAAGGGTTAAATTAATAGTATTATTATATTGACATGGGAGATTCATCAGCCTTCCACTCTAAAACTAGTCATTGTTATTATTCAAAATTACCTTGCATCTTTGATGAAATCAATGCACTCACATTAGTAAAGATGGTGGAAAACAACAGTGATAACATTTTTCCTAAAGAAAAGAAAGTAATATCACAAAATATCGTCTCCGAGAAACAATGGGTATTTTCCTTAATTGAAATAACAAATTATAATTTATACCACTGATCAGAAAAGAAGTTGGGGTATTCTCCTTAGTTAAATACTTTAATGAGGACTAGATGGGTTAATGTATTTAAAGCAATCTGAGAGTGACTGAAAAGATGTGCTTTTCAAATGAATCAATAAATCAATGCATATGTACTACCATCACACCCAATGGCTTAAAAGTAAAGGAGTCATTACCATAACAATAGACGTAAACCTACTTTGCATTGTTACTGTAATATCTATATTTGCTTTTAGATATCATATGCATATAATCTGAAAAACATTGCTGTAGAGAAGGTGTAAGTTATTACTCTGAGTTAAAATGTTCTGACCTAGTAGTTAGATATCAAGGAAAAAGCAAATAAAATCATCAATAATTTATTATTAAAGGGCATGTATATGAGATAATTATTACTAATTTCTAGTCTCATCATTTACTAAAGAGTCAATATTGTTGTTGTTGAATGATAATATATGAAAGATATTGTAGAAATGTTAGAAAATATTTTACCAACAAAAGCATTCACTATTATGGTATCAATGATATCATGCACTAGATGCTGGAAGAAGCTATACATACTACAAATATTTTCATTTTGTTGGTTAAACAAATTACTTTTTTGCTGTATTCCACTGGTAATCTTAAAAACAAATTCAAACAACAAATAACATTGTATGTCAGTTAACAGTTTAAAATGTATTTTCTCCTTGTTCATCAAAAATCCGTATGAGAGAGATGAGTCTACATTGTTAGGTACCTCATTTTATTTATAAGTAAAAAAAAGACCAAAGTTTGTATAACTTTTATATAACAGGCATTACTTATCTTTGTAGTCAGATAACTTCAAATGTTTGTTGTCTCTTTAATCTGCAATTCTCAAATTTTAATATTCTTAGGAATCTCTGAAGTCCTTGAGAAATAAAATTTTGATCCCAGACTCTACTTACATTCTGATGATTCATAAATCTTATTTTTAGATAAGCACCGCACCCAATATTATTCATAATTGGGTTGTCTATTGACCATACTTTGAGAAAAAACACTTTCTAGCCTACATTTTTGTATATGTCTAACTGCCATGATTGGCATCATGCATACATGATCCCCTATTAGGCTCCACCTTTGGAAAGAAATGAATATAATACATGTGTTTTCCTTAGGTAATTGTTGAGTGTATCTGGAATACCCAACAAGCCCTTCTGAATGGCGTATATTTGCTATCAAAACTTCCTTAAAGGTTACTGCGTATTTTCTACACAAATAAATGGATTATGCAAGTTCTTAAGTACTCTTTAATTAGACCTGCATCCTAAACTCCAATTATTTCTCTCAAATCTTGTTTGTATTTGACTAACATCTATTCTAATCCTACAAAGTAATTTCCAGGCTCTGCCAAATTATTGCACTATAAATAAGAAATAATCATTTAAACTTCAACCTTCTCTTTTCAAAGATTATGACACTCGGGTTTGATGGTATTACCACAGAAATGTCAGCTCAATTATTTTTAGAATAATTAGTTTCATTATATAAGAAAGTACACAGATATAAAACTCAGTTTCCTGATTCTAAAGTACCTTCAATAGCAATCAAATCCTAATTGAAAGAGGCTCACACCTGCTAGCTTCATCCTTTGTCACTCTCTTATGGAAAGATTTACTACCACAGAATCTAAATAATTATTAACTATCCCCATAGAAATGATTGTTAAATATCAACACATATATCCTTAAGTTACTAGATTGAAATTACCTAAAATTATTTCTTATAATTGGAAAATACATTCCTATATAGGGTTGCTGTGTAGCTAAAGTATTAGAGGCACAGAGATGTTATGCAATTTGATGAGGAAAAAACCTGAAATAGGACTTAGGTGTTCAGACATAATCACTCCTGTTAAATCAGTTCATTGCATTCCTAGAACATAGGTGTTTACTTTGTCAACTGAAATTGCTTCTGGGATAAATGGAAGTATTACTCTAGACCTAAAACAATCTAATTTTTTTCATGTGATTTTCCAGGTATACAATTTTTAAAGAACATGCAGTGAATAATATACAGTTTAGGGAAAAATAAGAAAGATTCTGTTTAGTTGCCAGGAAGACCAAGAGACAGGATGAAGATAGTTATGTGCAGAAAAAGTCAGGGGAAAAGAATAGCAGCTGAGAGCTATGAGTATGTGCCCATTAATTGAGAGGATAACTTGGGGCTCAGGTTTGGTACATCATTAGTTAGACAGGTTATGTTTCACATATGAGTAAACAATATGAAGACACACAATAGTTTCAAAGATTAAACTTAGGTGTATACTCCACTCTCCATAAATATGCTCATAAAATAATGATTTTGTGAGATGAATCAGTTTTTGAAATATTTTACATAAAAAAGTTGAGTTTTTATTTCCTTTTAAAATCCAATTTGTTTCATAATTATACAATAATCTAAATTTGGATTTATACCAAGTTCAAATTATTTATTACATAATTCTCATGAAATAATGTTAATTTCTTTTTAAAATTTTAGTCTATTTATTTGGAGACCAAGTTATGAGACTGGCTAATTTTTGCATTTTTAGTAGAGACGAGGTTTCACTGTGTTGCCAAGGCTGGTCTCGAACTCCTGGGCTCAAGCAGTCCACCCACCTTGGCCTCCCAAAGTGCTAGAAATACAGGCTTGAGCCACCGCACCTGGCCAATAATTTCTTTGCCTAAGAAATATTAGATACAACACTACATGCACTTTGATTTCTTTTCAACTGTGGTAAGAACACATGAGATCTACCTTCTTAACAAAGGCTTTAAGTGTATAATACAGTATTGTTAACAATGAGCACGATGTTGCACAGCAGAGCTGTAGAACTTATTCATCTTTAGTAAGTAAAATTTATACCCATTAGCTATTCCTTATGTTCTCCTCCCCTAATACCCTGAAACATCACTACTTTACTCTTTGCTACTATAAATTTGACTATTTTAGATACCTCTTGTAAGTGGAATGATGCAGTATATTTCCTTTTGTGACTTTCTTATTTCACTTAGCTCAATATCCTCAAGGTTCATATGATAGGATTTATTTCCTTTTCAAGGCTTAATAATATTCTACAATGAGAAACCCTGTCATCCCTGTTAGTATGAATATTATCATAAACACAAAAGTATTGATGAAGAAGTAGAACAATTAGAACCCTTGTACACTGTGAACAATGCAAAACAGTGCAGCCACTATGAAAAACAGTACATGTTTCCCCCAAAATTAAATATAGTACTACAATATGATCCCCTCATCTCACTTCTGAATATTTATCCAAAAGAATAGGAACCAGGATCTCAAATAGATATTTACACTCCCATGTTCACTGCAGCATTATTCACAATAGTTAAGATGTCGAAACAAACTAAATGTGCATCCATGGATGAATGAATAAAGAAGGTATTTTATAACTTAATAAGCATAGTTACTATGAATATTGGAAAGACATTTATATTTTTATAAACCATTTAAAAAACAGTTAAATCATATTTAACTCTAATTTTTATATATTCTTGGAACTAATGAATACAAAGTATACGTAAAATGTGTGTTTCCTAAATAAATGCATGTATGTTGTCCTCAAAGCATTACTATTATTACAATCTCGGTGTGATTTATGAATGAACCAATGGAGTTAGCCTTAAAGGAAGGGCTTTTTAATTTAATTTTATAACTGTTAAGTACAGTTATCATCTGCCTCAGATTTTAAACTTTTGTTCAATAGAAAAAAGTTTATCATTAAACAACTTAGGAAAGCTTATCTATGTAGGTTTTTTCCAGCAGGTTTCTGTTGTCAAAGGTCTAGTTCAACCATCTGATGAAACATGGTAGCAGAGGATATTTGCTGAATGGTACAAGCATTCAGGATTATTGAGAGGAATTTCTTTATAAATAAAATTGTTTTAAAGATTAATGTTTGGAATAGATTATAAATCCAGCTTCTAAAGGCAGAGAGCAGTCAGGTTTTTTTAGATGCTGGACTCAAGGCATCTTTAGATGGTGGAGTGAGCGAGTGAGAATGGTAGTGGCAATCAGATAAGTATCCCAGTTATTATTCTGAATGTTTTTTGTGATGGCATAGACATCAGAGAGGATTTGAAACAATGATGATAACACTTAACTTTCTGTGAGAATATAATGTTAAAGAATAAAGATAAAATATTTTTTGGACATAATAAGGACCATGTCAAATGTTGTATCATTTCATAAATGATTGGTATTTTGTTTTATATTATTAACAAACTAGATGGTAAACAACATAATCATAAAACTATAATATGATTTAGAAGAACAGCTCTCCCTAAACTTCTAAATAGGAGCTTTATAACAGGATATCCTGACTTCTGAACTTCTTCTACAAATTGACATTTCTTAAGTAGAAGGAACATATTTTTGCATCTCTATAAAAGCTTGCATATAAGTAAGGAATTTATAGTCTCCCATAAGAGTATCAGCCTATAAACTGCATGGAGCTTCACACTCCTGAACTACTGTTGTTCCTTCTCCATCATTCCATCAGTGAGCATAGTCAGAGAAGAAAATATAGTCTCCATAAACTAAGATCAAACTGTTAATTTTTAATTCAGCTCTTATTGACATAAATGGCATGGTAAATGCTTAGAACACTGACTGAAAATAAAAAGAACTGTTTAGTAAATTTAAAAAGTGTTGAGAGATTTACTAGCAGCCTCATAAGAATAATTTTTCTTGAAGTGAATTTCAGAATAAGATATAAATCACTAGATCTTATTTAGAGTAGTTTATTACAGATGCCACGAGGTCCGTTTGTAAGATGGCCTAAACTCAAGTTTCAGTGCCTGTTTTCTAATAGCATTACATAACCATATCTGGGGTAGTATTTATTAGGTAGTAATTCTCTGAAATAAACCTCCAGCTCTGTGTGCTTATTTATGGCACTTATAAGATTAAGGCGTGAGCTTAAATAAAGCAGTTTGGATCAGCGCTTACAGACTTGTGCCCTCATGTCTCACGAAAGGATAAAGACAGGAAGATAAACATGGACTGGCTTTACCAAGAGGACATCCTGACTCTTCGTAAGTCACTTTGGAATTTTTCTCACCACTTGATGCCTAACACTTTGCCACCTGTAAACCAATGACTGTTAGGTTTCCAAGACAAAAAGATTTGTCCAAAACTTGTAACCAGGGAAAGTATTGCATCCCATGGAAGAAGCTTAAAAAATATAGCACTCTCTTTATCCAGAAAAACTAATAATTATTTTAAAACTGCTTACACTGATCAGTATGTGAAGAATGTTTAGGGAGAAATTAACAGATATATTCCTTTTTTTTTTTTTTTTTTTGGCAAAGAACTTCCCAAGTCAACCTAATAATAAGAATCATAAGAGGCACCAATTTAAAATAAAAATAACTAATAAAAGTAATAGAACACATAACTGGCAACTTCTCCTTTACTCTAATTCATTAAATCTGGGGCTCCCCAAATAATCTATCTTTTTATGAAATAATTTTAATAAGATTTTGAGAAACATAAGTAATAACTGAAAAGCCATTTAAAATGTCTCTTCATAGCATATACTGCAATACAGGTATTAATATAGTTTAGAAGTAGAAAACAGAGTTTCAAATCATGGGGGTAAAAATGTGAAGCAAATATAAGAGAAGAAAAATGTATTTGAAAATAATGCAAAAATAAAATTTAGAATAAATGGCAAATATACATAGATTGTGTTATGCAACAAAAGAGGATTTATAGTATAAAAATGATGTATATCACTTAGCATTTGTAGATGGTCTGCATTGTAGTCTGTGTCTGGTGCTGGCCTAAAGATCTAGAACTTATTTCTTTCCCACGTTTTAGATGTGGGGATATTATTCACACCTAATTAATGTTCTCTTCACTCTTATTTTAAAAACCATCTAAGTGTATAGCACAGTCACAGATTTTAACCAGCACAACAATTTCTTTATCTAGAAAATTGTAATTGCTTTTGACCTACCTTGAGCTTTCTCAATGACAGCACACACTCCAACATACACTCATAATCTAATTTAAACTGTATTCTGATGCAATAATTTAAACTTTAATTTCTATTTGTCCTAGAGAAAATTCTCAGTCCTCCGTGAGGAAGCACGATCCCTGCTTCTTTGTTCAAGAAGGTGCCTATATGTTTGAAAGAAGGAAGGTGGAAGGTTTTGGGCATAATGACCTCCATCTTCTGGGATGCTATCTTTTTTCCATGTGAAAGCTATTTGTCCTCTAAATCTCTCTTGTCTAAAACATGAGCATATGGTGCTCTTTGCTCCCTGGCTTAGTGTCCATCTCTTGTTCCTGCCAATCCTATGTTCCCTCTGGGGTCTGGGTACCATTTTGGCACAGCTCTGAAAGTCTGCTCTGCAGGCACATTATAGAACCAGCTTTCTAAGGCAAACTCCTTAGGCACAGTGTCAGCAATATCTGGATCATGTCATTGGTACACAAGAAGGAAAGGCAAAATTAAAACCTCAAAAACTGTCCTCTGCTTGATCATTAAGCTAAGCCCTGCCAGATGTACTTTGATATGACCCAACCTCGATTTAGTATGGAATACCCTGCAAAGCAACCTTTTCCCATTGTCTCTAATGTAAGGGTCTGATCCTCAGTCCACCCCCAGTGTCAACCTCACTTACTAAAAGACTTCCTCATCAATGAGTCAAAGTCTAGAATAAAAAAAATCCAGATCTCATTCTTTGCTTTCCTTCTTATAATCCTCTATGCCTAAAAGTAGGATTTTTAAATATCTCTTATTTTGTATACATCTTTGTTATAGCCTTCACAGAATTGTCACAGATGTTAAAAGTTTTATTCAACACATTGCAGGAGAACATTATGAGTTGGTCCTTTCTGCCTTGAATCCGGATTTGCTTAAAAGGAGGAAATGATAATATGGAAAAATGATCTCTCTACCAAATCCCTGAATCTAAATGCTGCTGTCTAAATCTATAATTCCATTGTGTAAGTCATTATTATCATAGTCTTACCTTGTAGTTTCTTTTGTAACCAATAGAAACTGATGTGATTTGACTCTGTTTCCCTACCCGAATCTCATCTCCAATTGTAATCTCCACATATTGAGGGAGGGACCTCATGGGAGGTGATTAGATCACGGGGCCCATTTCCCCCATGCTGTTCTCATGATAGTGAGGGAGTTCTCACAAATCTTGATGGTTTAAAAGTGGCAGTTTCCCCTGTGCCCTCTCTCACACTCTTGCTGCCTTATGAGAAAGGTGCTTGTTTCCCCTTTGCCTTCTGCCATGATTGGAAGTTTCCTGAGGCCTCCCTAGCCATGCAGAACTGTAAATAAATTAAACCTCTTTTGTCTATAAATTACCCAGTCTCAGGTAGTATCTTTGTAGCAGTTTGAAAACAGAATACAAATACCAATATTTCTACTATCACATAAATATCTTTAGTGGACTAGTGTGTACATTTTATGCTTATAAATGCAAAAAGTAAAAGCATATTAGTAATTTTTAAAAATATTCTCAATAAAAACATTTATATTAATATTTATTTGACAAAAAATGTAAATTATACATAAAACTTGAGAAATACTCTAGCTCCTTCTTCAAGCTGCAATATTCTTCTGAAAGCAGTGCTTCCTTTGGAAGCAATTACTTAAATAAACTACATTTTTCACTACAGGTTTTTTTTGTTTTTGTTTTTTGGTTGGTTTTTTTTTTTTGCTACCAAAGTGCAAAAATGCTTTTGGCTGGCCATTTTCAGTTATATTTTGTGTTCTCTGCTCTCATTCATAACCTCCATTCACAGATAAAGAAAAGCTGGTTTTATTCTTTCACTGAATGTATCAGTTTCCTTCACCTTTCAATTACTACAGGAAGTCAACAATAGTTCCACTTACCATCTCCCTTATTTGTTCCCAATAAAACCTCAAATGGCTCTCCCTAGTCCTTCAAATGCCACCTTTTTCTAGAATGTATCCATGTACCATTCAGTTACTTTTTTGGAGGGTTACCTATTTCTTTTTTATGCTCTAATGTCCTGGACAAGAAAGGGAATTTCCAGATTGAAAACATTCTGTATAATATGGTGAAAATAGACTAATATCACTATTATCCTTGCTTCAGATTTCTAAAACTCAAAAGCATACTAAAATACTGTGTTTGAGAAGGTATAATTTGTAGTATTTACAGCTATTCTTAGAGGTAACCAAAAATTGAAAAAAATTTTATATATATATATATATATATATATATATATATATATATATATATATATACACATACACATACACACACATTTATAGTCTGTTCAGATGAGTTTTAAATGTTGTCTTGACCTTTATTTCTCTCCTTTATTCTTTGATAAACACAGCTCTGAATATTGAAAACTCTTATAACATAGTGAGTAAACAGCTATTTACTTATTATTCATCAGTCTTATAATTAGCTATTCCTACCTTGAATGCTATTGGGATAATTCACGTAACTGCAGATGGTTTGAACCATTTTACAGTAACATTATTTCTAGTAAAGAATGATCAAATTCTGCATTACAAGTTTAAAAGGACTGTTTTGTTTAGATTGAGAAAAAAGCTATGATCATTTTAGTTTTATTTATAAAAAATAAAGAGGTCATTACAAAATTTTAGAGTTAGAGTAATAAAATAATTTAAATGTGCTATAACAACGGTCACCTATTTTTTCACATATTTAACTAAAGTTGATTGCTTCTGAGAGATGACTTTCCTCTTTTATGGAGCTTAATTAGTCGATCATTTTTTGTTCTGGCCACATAATATATTATTTACATTACCCTAAATCATTTTCTTTTCACTTTAAAGTTACTCCAAAGTCTTTTACTTTATTTAGTCTTCTCAGAGCTTTGCAAAGCAAGCTTAGGGTCTAAAAAGAAGACTATAGCAATTTCCCTGCAGCGATTTTGCATTGACTAAAAGACAGCAATCAAACTTATCAGCTGAAAACAGTTTTTGGCTGCAAGCAAACAAACCAGTTCATTTACTACATTTAGAGTCTTACTGGGGCAGTCCAACTCCACTGCGAAGAAACCACTGCCACAGCATAATTAAAGAATCTGTCATTCCGACTGGAGTACTGTGCATCTTAACCAGGACCTGAGGTTAGGATGGCTAAGGCCCAAACAATATGGAACAAAAGAAATAGTATTTTATAACTGGTGATTTATGACAAACCTGAACTTTTAAAATAATTCTCCATTGTAAAAAGCCAAAATCTTTCTATTTATAATACATTGTTATTGTAATATATTGAAGGAATGCTTTGGAATTACACTCAATATTTTAACTCAGTACATATCTTGTAACAGGTTATAGGAATAATAGAAGTGCAGAGAGTTAACTTCATTTCTCTGAAAACTTAGTAAATTTTCTTTAAAATATTATTTTCAATATAATTAAGAGAAATAAAAATTATGAACAAGGGCTTAAAGAACAAGCATGAAAGCCCTGGCAGCTACACAGAAGAAAATACAAATGTAAGAGGGAGTGGGGCAGAAAGATGAGAAAGGAAGGCATACTGCTCTACAATTATGCTTAAGGGGATATATACTAAATAAAGGAGTTCTTCAAAATATATAGTATCAACCTAAGAAAAGAAAACAGTGAAAATATATTCTTGTTTTTTTCTGCATAGAATAGACTTCTACTGTAAAGAGGAAGAAACTAGCCTCACACAACCATATCATACTGCAAATAGAATTAAGTATGCTGATTCCACACCAAATGGTCACATCCAACATTGCTGCCGGAAGAGAAGAGAAACCATGTGTTAGTATTTTCATCAAGGGTCTCACAGTGTAATACTTGGAACAAAAAAATTAGATTATAAATTGGTACTACCTATGATATATCTGAGACAAAAATGTGACTCCTTCAGTAGCTTTCTAAGACTAACATAGGCAAGTCAATTCATCTTTCTCATTTTCAGTTTCTTCTTAGATAAATTGAGACAGTTGAATAAGTTGAATTACAGAACACTTTGATGCTATATCTTAAATATTTTGTGGCCTCCAAAATTCACGTGTTAAAAAT
Source organism: Homo sapiens (assembly GCF_000001405.40). Classification (NCBI taxonomy): domain Eukaryota; kingdom Metazoa; phylum Chordata; class Mammalia; order Primates; family Hominidae; genus Homo; species Homo sapiens. The sequence goes on along the minus strand of NC_000013.11, from coordinate 81,578,856 downwards.
TTAGTCACCAACCTACAGGCTTGGGCAATGGGGCCTGTAAGAGGTGTTTAGGTCATAAGGCCTTCACCATCATGAATGGATTAATGACATTATAAAAAAGGGAGATTGGGAATGAGTCTTTTTTCTGCTCCTCTGCCACGTGCAGGCACAGAGTCCCTTTCTTGACCCTTCTGTCTTCTATGTGAAGAAGCGCAGGAAGGTCCTGGACAGATGATGGCAACTTGATCTTGAATTTTCCAGCCTCCAGACTTTGAAAAAATATATTTCTGTTCTTTATAAATTATCCAGTCTCAGACATTCTGTTATAGCATGCAAAATAGAGTAAGACATTTAAAATGAACCATGCCAATGATTTCATACATCAGTAATTAGTGACTTTTCAATAAATAATAGTAGTTTGCTTATCTATACTTCAATGCCAGCAAATAACATCTTTTTAATGTAAGTGTGGTGTTGTCACAATTGAAAATATACAGATATGGTTGCTTAAAAGTTACATATCTCCTAAATACTAAAAACAAAAATAAATAGCAACAGAACTCTAAATATTTCCAAATTTGAGAGTTTAATCTTAAATAACACATAAGCATACCTTTATTCTTCAATAATTTAATTGATTTAGTCATTTGATTATTTCAAGCAAAAATAATTAAAGGTTTATTTGCCACATTTTATCTTGTAAATCTGAAAATAAATCAGTACCATCCAATTGTTCACCAGTCACTGCCTTTTTGCTTTCATTGCCATGGTTTTGAACTTTAAAGTTATTGTTAAAATTTGTAAAAGTCTGTGATCAAGAAATATCACTTCCAGATGTAAATTAGAAACTATCCATTGAGGTTTCTCTATAACGTCACAGTGTGATTTCAGCCTTTTTCCTAGGGGAATTTATTTTTGAAGTGCCTGTGTTTCTTTTTTTTACCATTTCCAGCCTTTTGTTTTGTTTCCTTCTTCTGGGTTTCAAAGTTTCTTTTTGTTATTTCCAATTAAGGTTGAAGTTTGCTGTGGTTTTTTTTTTTTTTTTCTTTTTGGAACAATGCCATTTTCCTAACCCACAAAGCTGTTACTGTGAGTAGGCCTGCTCTTAGATAACTCCTCCGGTAGAGCTCTGTTCATGATTAATTAGCATTTCTAAAGAAGTAAATGAGCATCTTGCTTTTCACTTTCTTTGCAAATGTTTGACATATTGTGAATGTTTGATTTTGCTGTATTACTCTTAATATATGCTAATACATGCTTGCAATGGGATAACATAGTATAGTGATTAGGCAGGTACATGAATCTCAGTGAGGTGATTAAATGCTTTTCTTCTTCAATAGTATGGTGACATAGTAGCTTGTCTATTATTGATAATGATACTATTAAAATAATCTTAAAAATGGAAAATAAACTGATGGGTTTACTTTCTCTTCTCTTGGAAAGTATGAGTTTTGGAACTCCTCTATATTCTTAACCATTCTTAATCCAGGAAGGTATCCAGATATACCAAAATAAAATTGTTAGATAATTTATGTGCATTAGATTCAGCTTCAAGAAACAGAGTTTTTCATTTCTTAATTGCCATAGCTCCAATTTCTAGAGGAAAATTACTTTTGAGCTTGAATATCAGCATTATATTTTTACAGATATTGTCAAAGTTACATCAGAATACACATATACCAAGTTAAAAGGTAAGAAGCAACCTAAAAAATTATATTCAGCTGATCTTTGACAAAGGTGCGAAGCCATGCAATGGAAAAAAGATAGCCACAAATTAAAAAAAAAAAAATCAATCTAGACACAGACCTTAGAACCTTCACAAAAATTAACTCAAGATAAATCATAGACCTAAGTGTAGAATGCAAAAAGTATAGTATAACATTCTTAGAAGGCCAAGCAAGCACCATGGTTCATGTCTGTAATCCCAAATTTTTCTGGTCCATGATTCCTTTAAGGATCACGGGAGATGGGAGGTTAAGGCAGAAGGATTAAGAAAAAAAATTCTTAAATAGAAGAAAATCTACATAACTTTGTTTTTTTTCCCCTTTTCTAGTTGGTTTTTTTTTTTTTTTTTTTTGAGACGGAGTCTCGCTCTGTCGCCCAGGCTGGACTGCAGTGGTGCGATCTCGGCTCACTGCAAGCTCCGCCTCCTGGGTTCACGCCATTCTCCTGCCACAGCCTCCCGAGTAGCTGGGACTACAGGCGCCCGCCACCGCGCCCAGCTAATTTTTTTGTATTTTTAGTAGAGACGGGGTTTCACCATGTTAGCCAGGATGGTCTCGATCTCCTGACCTTGTGATCCGCCTGCCTCGGCCTCCCAAAGTGCTGGGATTACAGGTGTGAGCCACTGCGCCTGGCCATTTAAAAAAAAAAAAAATAGCTTCTCACTGTCACCCATACTTCTGTATAGTGACACAATCACAGCTCACTGCAGCCTGGACCACTAGGGCTCCAGTGATCCTCCCACTTCAGCCTCCCAAGTAGATGGGACTACTGGCATGCACCACCACACATGGCTAACTTTTTTATTTTTTTATTTTTTGTAGACATGGGGGTGTCTCCTTATGTTGTCCAGGATGGTCTCAAACTCCTGAGCTCAAGTGATCCTCCTGCCTGAGGCCCTCCAAATGCTGGGATTACAGAAGGGAGCCACCATACCCGGCCTGACCTTGGTTTTGACCATGAATTTTTAGATACAACACCAAAGGCATGATCCATGAAAGAAATAATTGATAAGTAGAACTACATCAACATTAAAAAAAAAGAAAACAAAAACACTGCTCTGTGAAAAACACCATCAAGAAAATGCAAAGACAAGCCAAAGACTGGAAGAAACTATTTGCAATAGACACATCTGATAAAGGACTGCTATCCAAAATACACAAAGAAAACTTGAAACTCAACAATAAGCAAACAACTTGATTAAAAAATGGGCAAAAGATGTATAGGCATTTAACTGAAGAAGACATACAGATGGCAAATAAGTGTATAAAAATGCTCAATATCCATTTATTAGGGAATTGCAACATAAAACAATAAGATACCACTACACACAACGAGGTACCATTTGAACTAAAGGGATGTCCAAAACAAAAAATACTGACACCACCACATTCTGGCAAAGATGTGGAGCAACAGAAACTTGCATTCCAGGTGGGAATGCAAAATAGTACAGTCGTTCTGAAAGATAATTTGGATTTTTTTTTTTACAAAACTAAATATATTTTTAATAACCCAGAATTACATTCCTTGACATTTATCCAAAAGAAAAAAATTCTTATGTCCACATAAGAACCTGGACAAGGATGTTTATAGCAGACTTTTTCATGATTATCAAAACTTGAAGGCAACCAAGATATATTTTGGCGGGTGAATAGATAGATAAATCTTGCTACATCCAGACAAAGGAATATTATTCAGGGCTAAAAAGAAATGAGCTATCAAGTCATAAAAAGACATGAAGGAAACTTAAATACATATTACTAAGTGAATCAACTAAATCTGAAAAGGCTACCCCTTGTATGATTTCAACTTTATGACATTCTGGAAAAGGCAAAACTATAAAGGCAGTAAAACGATCAGTGGTTGCTAGGGGTTGGGAGGAAGAAATGAATAGAATATTAGGGCAGTGAAAATATTCTGTATGATACTAAAATGGTAGACACCTGTATTATACATTTGCCAAAACCCATATAATATACAACACTAAGACTGAACCTGATGTAAACTATGGACTTTTGGTGATACTGATGTATCAATGTAGGTTCATCAATTGTAAGAAATACACCATTTTGGTGGGGGAGGTCTATAGTGACAGAGACTGTGCATATGGGGGTATAGGTGGGCAGAGAGTATATGGGAACTCCTTATACTTTCTATTCAATCTTGCTTTGAACCTAAAATATCTATAAAAATAAATTCTATTTTAAAAAGCAGAAAATATTAGAACTTAAAATATTTGTAAGTTACTCCTCACATTTAGAGGAGAGGAAGTGGACTGTAAAGTGCTAGGCGACTTGCCCAAGGATGGACAAGTAACTAAAGACAAATTATTGAATAGAAACTTGACTATTTACTGTCCTCAAAGTCCCTGCTCACCACTAATACAGGACAGACATGTTGTTAAATATCTTTTCAATAGTGTCTGAATTATATTGACCTTTTAGGCTAATCTATGTCTCCATGGTTCTAGTATACTTCCCAAGATAATACTATCCAACATTGATTTCTGTTGTTCTTGATCAGCATAACGTTTACACTGGGTATCATACAACCTAGGAAACAAATTTAATTCAATTATATGCTCTCTGTGATGCAGTATTTTCATTCTTCAATAGTCTGATTGTAGTATAAACTCTTTTTAAAATAAGTAAGCTATTTTAAAAGTTGGTTGATGGCTTATACATATTCGATATGCTTTAGAACCTAATCTCATGCACTGAATTTTATGTGGCTTAAGAAATATTTATATGATCTGGAAAATCTACACAATGAGACTTTTACTAAAAGGAATTATTTATTGCTAAAGTTGAACATGAGCTGATAACATGATTTAGCATCCAACAAGAAAAAAGTACTGCTTATTTAAAACCACTGTTTGGATATTAAATGTCGTAGTATTTAGTACTGTGTGCTAGGTATAAGACAGGAATAAAGGTGAAACCCCGTCTCTACTAAAAATACAAAAAATTAGCCGGGCGCGGTGGCGGGCGCCTGTAGTCCCAGCTACTCGGGAGGCTGAGGCAGGAGAATGGCGTGAACCCGGGAAGCGGAGCTTGCAGTGAGCCGAGATTGCGCCACTGCAGTCCGCAGTCCGGCCTGGGCGACAGAGCGAGACTCCGTCTCAAAAAAAAAAAAAAAAAAGACAGGAATAAAATTACCTTCTTCATTATAAATAATGCTTTCTTTGTGTGAGATAAGCAAAATTGATATTTATTGCTTTGATAGCACTTTTAAAAATGAATACATTTTTAAATCATTTATTAAATATTATTTCCAAAGAGATGGACAACCAAAAATACAACATATATAAAAGAGCTACTAAGTTAATTCAATTTCTAAAGGCGTCTTAACAATTCATGTGTACACTTAACTCTTTACTTTAATTTGATTTTTATTGTCTCCTCTGTTAAAGTAACTGTAGAAAATTACTCTTAAGCTGAAGAAAATATAGAAAAGAAATATAAGTGAAGAAGAACGTAAGTTTTTATTTGTCACCTTTTTATTTGGATTACACAGAGACTTACAGAAAAGGTAAAAAAAAAAAAAAAAAAAAAAGTAGCATTAGATTCCCAATGAACCCTTAACCTGTTTAAACAAATGTAAGTATCTTACAGAAATAGTTTTTATGTAAGGAAAAACTATGATCAAACTAGGAAACGTTGCTGTAGTACTAATAACTAAGCTATAAACCTTACTCAGATTCCCAATTCATGTGCATTTTTCCTGGTCCATGATTCCTTCAAGTATACTGTATTAAATATTTTGCCATGTTTCCTTAATTTCTGCTTATCTGTTCCCCACCCCCGCCATCCTTATCAGTCATATTGAAGACATTTCCTCAATTTGGGTTTGTCTAATGATTTATCATGCATTTGGGGCATGTCAATATATGTGTCTACATACATAATATATAGTCTTGTGTATATCATTGTGTGTGTTCATTGACAGTGTTTATACTTAATTACGTACACATTTTATCCAATTCAAAATGTACTACGGTTTGTGTTCTTAACAATGTATATTGAAAATCCTTCCTCTTCAGTAAAGTTCTTCATATATTTTCTATGGCATTCAAAAATTATATTAATTATTAAAGTCTGACGAATCAGAGAATTTGTCTTTTTAATAAAATACAATCAATATTCAATAATATATTTTCTTATTCATTGTGATGTATGAAACCAACTTTACTTTTACCTATTTGTTGATAATATCCCCAAAATTCCCCAGATATCTATGATTAAATACTTTCTCTTGTCCCTAAGCATAACTCAAAAATTTTTCATTGATTATTTGTTAAGGAGATTTTCTACTTTTTCCAAATACACACACACACACACACACACACACACACACACGTATGTCATGGGTCTAACACTTCTTTCACATCTCTTATTTTTACCTTTTTTTGGGGTAAGTCTCCTGATTTTCTGCTTTAAAAAAATATATTTCATGTTCATACCTAATGCACACCTGATAAAAAGCAGAGGAGTGATTCTGAGTTTATGAAATAATGCCCTGCTTCAGTCAGACCACACAGACCAAATTAGGAACTCCAAGAGCCAGTGTTTGTTCTCTTTGACTTGTCCCCAAATCACAGCTGATCAGAGCAGAGTTAATCAGATTTTCTCTCCTGTAGCTTTGAATGTGGAACACAGAGACACAGAGATTAATTATTATCTTTGAGTCACATTAATTGAAGTGGCTCTCAAACTTTAATGTGCCTATGGATAACCAAAGGACTTGCTAAAATGCAGATTCAGGTCTAGGATACAGAGAGCAGTTCTGCCTTTCTTGTAAGCTCTTAAGCAGTGCTTTGGCTGCTTTTTAGCTGGACCACATTGTTAACAGCAAGGATATATGTTAACCAGAAAGTTGATGAAATTCTTTGCTGATACTCTTGAAGTGTCCAGGTTTTTCCCCTTCCTTGGGTTATTTTCTCTTCTAATTGCTCAAGACAGCTCACCATCTTTTCAATAAATTCATCTTTTTTTCTATTACACTTAAGTTTTATCTAAAGGTACAGTTCATTCATTTGTAATTCATTTAATTATATGAGCTCCTATAATTATTTTTTAGGAAAATAAAAAGAGTATCTAAAGACAAAAATCTTAATTAATTTTTAAAAAATGTGAAATATAAACCCAAATTCATTTTTTCTTCACATTAACCAGAGTCAAGTCATTGTGATTACAACAAAAAAATGTCGAAACCAAGAATACTAACTAATGCCACTGTGTGTGTATATTAGTGTGTAGGTATTCACAATGAGCTTTATTTAATTGCCCCTATTCATTACATTACAGAGTGTTAAATGCATTAACAAAGAAATTACAACTCTGGCTTCCCCCTGAAAATACTTGCTCTGTTGTGGACAGGTAATAGTAATTTCTGAGTGTCTGTTAAATTAAGGTAATCCAATTTATTTCCCTTCCTACATGGCTTGTTGCACCCAGCCTCAGTTTCTCTAGTACTTGTAGTCCTATGTACATCATGATGTCTCACAATGGTATCTGAGATTTTTGAGGCTTAAGTGAGCATCAAATAATCAAGTACAGTAGTAATTATAAAAAATCCATACCGCACTTTGGGAGGCCGAGGCAGGCAGATCACTTGAGGTCAGTAGTTCGAGGCCAGCCTGGCCAACATGGTGAAACCTCGCCTCTACTAAAAACATAAAAATTAGCCAGGCGTGGTGATGGGCACCTGTTTTCCCAGCTACTCAGGAGGCTGAGACAGGAGAATTGCTTGAACCTGGGAGGAGGCGGAGGTTGCAGTGAGCTGAAATGCCACTGCACTCCAGCCTGGGTGATAGAGCAAGACTCCACCTCAAAAAAAAAAAAAAATCCATACCATAGATCTCTAAGTAGGGAAATGAAGAATATATAATGGATAACATTCTAATATGCATGTCAATGAGTCTTTCCCCCATTGCTTGAATTTAGGAGGAAATAATTTTGACACAATTTTTAATCTCATTCAGAAAAAAAGAATCTGTAAAACACATAATTTTTAGTTGTAAAATAACTTTCACACAATGGGGGGAAGTTCTTAAATATTGTAAGAATATTAATAATAGCTCAAAGTACATAGAAAATACATATTTATGTTTATATATTTTAACATCTCTAGAATCTACATAACACAACAGAAACAGCTTCTTATAATTTAAAGTGAAATGCAATGTTTACAGTATTTTTGCTTTCTAATTCCTTGTTATGACTACCCAAGAATTCGAAAAATAACTCTCAGAAGTGTCCACTTTTTTATCTGGATAATTGCCGCTTTTGCTATCAGGAAATCTTTCATCTTTCTGGCAAAAGATTACAGTAACTTTCCTTAAGTACAATGCTACACAACTCTCTCCCTGTACACGGTTTGGATGTAGTTGCCATAATCACTAGCTAATTGGTGAGCTCTGATTGGCCTAAATCTTGCAGAGTGACCTAAAAAGACTGGTTCAAGTGTGGCCTACTGATCCATTAGCGGCCTATGAGATCTGCACTCAGGACTGTTGTTCCTCTGTTGAGTGAAGAGAAGAGTTCTTTTCGTTACTGACACTTAAGGAGCTTTTAAAAATAGGGATGTGTGGGCCCCACGCCAGACATAGAATCTAAGGAGCTAGGTTTAGGTAGGGGTTGTTTTTAAAAGCTCTTTCAGAAGTCTAATAAGCATTCCAGTTTCACTCACTCACTGATTCATGGTGTAGATTAACGCACAGCAACTTTCCATGATGTAAAACTTGAGTGTGAAAATAATGTAGATGAAGACAGAATCAAGACATAAAAGGAAATGGAGTCTTGACAAGATTTGAATACATGTCTGAATTCAACATTACTGTGAAAACTTTGCTTCTACTTTACAATCAATTATTTTCTGATGTAAATGAGTTCAAGTTGGATTTTTTGTCACTTTCAACAAATAGGCCTAATATATAAACAAAGAACATTTTAAGTACTTTATTTTATCACTGTTTTCTTAAGATATTTTATATCCACTTACAAATATTAATATGGTAATTTTCAATAAGTAATGCTATAAAATAAAATCCAGAGTTACTATATATATATACTTCTATGGTCCCATCAATTACCCCATACAACTGAAGTCGTCATTGGTCCCAAGAATTGCAACTCATCTAGAGCCTAATTATATTTCTCTTCTAAGTCTCACAAAATAAATGACTTTGCATGTTTTGATATTAGATAAATTAAAAAAGAGTGTAATATAAAAGGAAACAGGTTAAACTCATTTTGTTTGTACTTTTAATTGATTTTTGTTTCATAGCCATATTACATTATCAAAACTTTTAATATATTTATGATAGACTCATAGCAACTATAAAAGTCATCTTCATAGGACAAGTATTTTTTCTGTGCCATATATATTTCAACAAATCAAAGAGGCCTGCAGCTATATGAACAGCTTTATCATACCTACTAATAATTAATCATGTGACTAAATAAGCACATGACTAAATTAATGCAATTCTAAAATCTACAATGGGATTTTTCCTTTTGTCTCCCTCATGCATTCATTCCATATTGTTGTTTCATGGCCAGAACACTTGTTTGTACCAAGAATATTAGGTAAACTGAGAAATATATGTATTTTTATGTAAATAAAAGGATAAAAATTATGCCAAGCAAAAATCTTTTTTAGGCCCAATATATTGTTCTAATTTGTTACCAAATCTGATGTTAAGTGGAAATTTTACCAACTTATTTACAATGCAATTATTTTATCTTTAAAATATAATTCTGTCATTTTTTAATTGATTCATAATTTGTAACAATGATTAGTATATATCTATGATACCTAATCATTATAGAACTGTTTATGGTTATCACAAATGCTAAGAAAAGGATAAATGTTTATTCTTGTTCTGTTTTAGTTATTCATTCCTACATTTGAAAAAGCTCTAATAGTTTGTAGTTTAGGACAACAATGAGTTATTATTTCTCATATTTCTGTAGGTCAGAAATGTAAGCAGTGCTGGGCTGGGCAGTTCTGTTCCACTTGGTGTCAGTTAGAGCTTATTCTGTATTCAACTGTATTCAAGTGGTATTCAACTGGTGACTGAAACGAGCTACTCTAGAAATATGCAAAACATACACATCCCTCATGTCACAAATCTATCCAAAAACAGTATTAGCAAAAAGCCAAGAATTGCATCATGCAAATTAGGTCCAGGTACAGAAACGCCTCCCTAGGGGAAATTACTCAGTTGTAGCTTCTCAGTTTAGCTCTCTTGTTCCAGAGCTAAAAACATAACTTACTTGAAGTTTCTCTAAATCTAACTATCTGTGTAAAAACGAAATTATTTTTCTCCCTTACCCTACCACATAACATGTAATAATGAAGCAGAAATGAGAAAAAAAAATCACAGAAACTCCAATAAAGAGGTGAATGGAAGCACCTAGCAGTCAATGGTTTACACCTGTTTTGAAATCCAATTGTGCATATATTGTTAGTGATTTCTACGTCCAAAGCAGGGAATAGTTTTCAATTAAGGCCCCATTTTCTCTCTGGAAATGCACTTCCATGGCCATTAGCACTATTTTCTGGGAGTTGGTTTCTGCTCTTGGAGTTCACTCTTAATGTTTTAATGAAACATAGCCTATGTTTACAACTATCTTTCTCAGCTAATTTCTGCCCTTAAAAGATAGGAGGCCCAGATTCCTCCTTTCTTTTCAGCTAACTCTTCCTCTTTTATTCCAAGCTGTTGATTCTTTCACTAATACAATTCTCTTAAAAACATTGTTGATTTCAATGAACAACATTGGGATTCATTCGTTCTCCCAAAACACTCGTCTATAATTCATTTTGAGACAGACAAATCTCTACTGTAGGCAGATAAGGCTGCTTTTGGACAATGCCATTTAGATTCTTAGAATCCATTTTGTCTAGCTGCAAGAGATTGCAAGTGACCCCCTTAAATATTTCAAATATTTTAATAGGGAACTTGCAGGCTCAACTTGTAGTTTTATCTTTACCATTAATCAACATTTTACTAGGTGCACTTTAAATGTTTATCATAAGGCTGTTTCCCACTTTGAGAAAATTTTTTTGTTAGGAATAGTAGAAGATAAGAAAACACATTTTCCAACTTAGCAATTTTGGGTATGAAATATTTCCTCCAAATTTTGCTTAAAGCTGAACAGCTCTGCCTTTTATTAATCTCTCTTGTAATATCTTATCATGTCATATATAAACCAATTGGCACTTTGAACATTATGCCTTGAAATATATTTAGTAGTCCTCAAATTCATCAGGTGTATTTTCTATTATGCATGTAATGCAGTCAACTGTCCTGCTGGTTTTTCCATCAGAATATAATGTGCCTACTTTTCTTCAGTCTCCAGTAGCAATAGCTTCATTGAATTTACAGTTTCCATTAACAATCTTCTTCTTGTCTTCCTAGGCTTTTCTTACTGCTTGACGCCAGAGCCAATGTCACATGTATTAGGTCTTTATTAGAGCAACAACCACTTTCAAACTCAGTGGAAACAAATTCACCTCCTAGGAGAATTGGTATGTACATAGAGATAGAAAAAAAAGTTAAAGGCTGTCTTTCCGAACTACCACATGATCTATGGTAATTGATTATGGTGGTTATAGAACTCCACCCTTCTGCATAGTGCCAATTTCAGACTACTACATGATCTACGTCTGTGTCAGTTTCAGACCACTACATGATCTATATCTTTACATATCTACAGATAGACATAGATCATGTAGTACTCATCGGAATAGGTACTATGTAAAAGAGTGGAGTTCTACAACTGAAAGCTAAAAACCGAATATTTGAAAAGTCATTAGTGTTTCGAATGGGAATGCAAGGATAATTTAGGCTTTCTTTCCAATATGGTTTTATATATTTTAATATATTGAATGTTATGTGTATATATTTATATGTACAAATATAGATAGGTATATAATATGGCATGAATAAACGGTAATATTTAACAACTATTTTCTCTCTATTTCTTCTTATTGTAGAATTCTGAAGGCTATGGCGCTTGAATAGATGAAAGTAGTTGTTTAGGTTGGAAAAATAAATATCTTCATTTTTAAATTTTGGCAATTGTATTAGGATATCTATATCAGTCTCACTTACACTAATTAGCATGATACGTATTTCAAAGCCAAAATAAGTACTGATTGAGAAGCAATATGGTACAGCAATGAAGACAGACCTAATTATTTTGAATCCCACTTTCTCAATTTCCTATTGCTGTTGCATTAATCAGCTTGTCAATGCCATAATAACACTTCATAACTTTTTTAAATGAAGCAAAATGCTTGACATTTAATAATTTAGCTATTGAATAAAATAAGATATTTTCACTGGAAATGGGGAAAGCACCAAATCACTACAATCTATAGTATCACCTCTGAGAAGCAAGCAGACCTTCCTTGATAAAACCCTATTTTAATTCTCTATAAGGTCACATTTACAAAAATAAAGTATTTTATGTAAATATTGGTTTAAATAATGAAAAAGTGCATGTATTCATAGCATACTGTTAATAACATTTCAAAATATATCTAATATTTTATGGAGCATTTAATAATATGGATTTATTTTAAAATATTTTAAAAGTCCAAATGTGCTTTCTCATAAACAGACGTCGATAACACTTTAAGCCAAAATTTGTCAAAATTTGAGTATGTATTTTTTCCAGTGCAGAGACTGAAAAAATGAATCTAATATTTTCATTTCTGTCCTCAAACAACTTATTAAAAAGGTCAAAACAGAAGCTATCTGTTGGAGTTTCACTGCTTTTGAAAATTTACCATGATTTTTCAGCGTATCTATTCTTAATGGGAAGTGACAGCATGGCAACAGAAGTAATTTCAACATATTTTCCTGGTATCAGTGGCACACACTATTACTTGTGATCACTACAAGTTATATTTGGCTAAATTTCCCTTGACATTTTATAATCCATTTTTTCTCGGTATAATCATTGTACTTAAAAAAAAATAAAACCTCATATTATCTCAAAGCTTTTATTCACTATTAAAGACCCAACTAAACTGCCAGAAGTTACAACCTTTCCTTTGAAAATTTTTAATAGATCTGCTAACTTATTAATTAGTCCAATCAGCAAAATTTTGGACTGTAATATATCCAGTCAGTATTTGAAATGAATAAATCAAGAGCTAAAATTCCAGCACTCTAAGAAATAATACAGAATAAAAGTCTACTAAATAATAAATCTAAAACTTATTTTAGATAGTCTGAATTTTCATTTTTGTGTTTTTCTTCTCAATTTGTATTTTACAACAGAGCTCCAACTAACTTCAAGTCCCTAGATAATGTTCCATGTTATTATGTCTATGTGATTTGAAAGAAGTTAGTCAGAACCAAGTATTTGGTTTGGTATATTTAGCTGCGATTGCATGAATGGAATTTTACTAACATAAATTGGATTAGTTTTCATTATTAATAAGTGCACACTACAGTTTCTATTTTATAATACATCTATACTAAATTTTCAAGATCAAATAAATATAGATCCATGAAAGAAAGGTAACACAAGAAACCCCAAAATCGTGGTAACAGTTTAATTGGCATGCCCTTAAAGTAGGTATTGTATTTTATTGAATGGATTAATCAATTTTTCAGATAACACAGTTTGTGCTTAGAGATTAAAAATATTACAGGAAGTAATTTCTGAAGAAAGAAATCCAGGAAAAAATGGGAGAATGCATAACAATTATTTGGAGGAAATACATTTAATCAATCCAATTGCTTCAAAATTATACTCTGGATCAAATTTGTTTGAATATACCTTGTGAATAATACTAAATTTGACTAATGCCATTTTGAAACCAATTTGTGGAAGGCAGCATGCTAGAAAAACATATTAATTCAGTCAACTCTACATAGCACCCAAGCTAAAAATTATCATCCTCTTTTGGTAGATGAGGAAGCTGAGGTTTAAGTTGGCAGAGAATAAATTCAAGTTTAAAAACTTCTGTTTGGGATTTATTGAGTAATATTAGATTCAATCTTTTCAGTAAGTCTTTTTAATAAAGGGAGATACAAAAAAAGAAGGAATTGAATTCTCTATAAGTTGATGCTCTAGCTTTCCACCTTCAGGTTGATGGCTAGTAATTTTCCCTACTGGATATTCTCTAATTGATTCATGTAAAATTTAGTTATTAAAGTGAAATGCAGAGACCACATAAAATCTTCCAAATACATATTTTACAGCAACTTTATTCAAAATTGCAAATACTTGTAAGCAAACAAAATGACCTTTATTAGGTGAATGGATAAATAAACCATGGTACCTCCAAAGGTATTTCCTTTTATTCTGAGCTAAAAAATGAGTTATCAAGTCACAAAAAGACATGGAGGAACCATAAATGGATATCACTAAGTGAGTAAGGACAATTTGAAAAGCTATATACTGTAAAATTGCAACTATATGACATTCTGGGAAAGTCAAAACTAGAAATCCAGTAAAAGAATCAGTGGTTGCCAAGGGCTTAAGCCGAGAGAGCGGGATGAATAGGTGGAAAGCAGGATTTTTAGGGTAGTGAAAATACCTGTAGGATACTAAAATGATGGATACAAGTCATTACACATATGTCAAAACCCATAGAATGTACAACACCAAGAGTGAACCGTAATGTAAACTACAGACTCTGGGTGATAGTGATGCGTCAGTGCTGGTTCATAAATTATGACACACGTACCACTCTCATGGGGGAGGCTATGCCTGTGCAGAAAAGGAGGTTTATGGAATATCTCTAACTTTCCATTCAGTTTTGCTATGAACCACAAATCATTCTAAAAAATAAATCTGTAAGAAAACGAAATGCAGAAACAGAAGCCTCTGGTAATAATACAAAAACCTGTCCCTCTCTTCCAAAAATTAAAACCTGGAAGTAGGTGTTCAAAAACGAGCTTAGTAAGTGTTCTACACTTTTGGTAGCTTTCAGTGTGAATTAAAAGAACAATTGCAGCACAGCTATTTTGAATGATGATGCTTATCTTGACTTCTAATAGTTTTTTTATTGATAAGCCAAGCACAGAATAAAAAACAACTTCTGTTTTGACTTTCAATATGAAAAACCAGTATATAAGCCATGCAATACTGGAAATCCTTCAGAAAAATCTATCCTTTATAGGAGTTAACATTTATCTCCTGAAATTCAACTGTGTTCTTTACTTGTGTGTTTTTTAAATGCAATCAGCTTCATAAGAAATTGGGACCAATAGTGCTATTGTTTTCTATATACCACTTCAAGAAATTCCAATTAAAGTTATTAAAATTTACATATTAATATTTGTCAGAGACAAAACAGAGACGCTAAGCTACTTGCATTGTTTGTAAAATCCCCACCTCTCCCAATCTTGCCTTCATATATTAAAAAGTACCATTATCATTTCAAACAGTAAATCATTTGATTACAATATGCACGACAATGTGAGTTCACCTAGTCCAGGGTCACAGGGACACCATGGTATAGCAGAAGGGCCCATCTCCTGGCCCAAGACCAGAGTCTCAGATTGAAAATTTACATGTGTTTTTTACAATTAGGTCAGGAATTGAGGCTTACATAATTTTTTGTCCTAAAACACTGACATTCCTCCTTGCTTTTTTTTCTTTCACATATGCAAGTACACAAAGCATATTTCTGAGAGATTAATTATTAAAACCTAGGTAGTAATTGCAATCAAAGCAATATGTTTTCATATTTAGATTATCTTTGGTTGATAAGCTGTTTTGACTCCAAACCTCAATGCTTTAGTCACTAATGAGGATTGTTTTCTCTCTGAGGGCTGTAAGCTTAAGTATGTCTTTATGTAGCTGATTTTTTCCCTCTGTCTTAAAGCTCATTAATTAGAAGCTAACTTCCCCCAGTTGTAGCTTTTTAATGTGCTGCTTTAGAAGAGCTTTCACTGCTTAGCATTAAAATGTCACTGAATCCAAACAGCTTTTACATTCTCTTAAAGAAAGCATTTTATACCAAGTGCAATAATACAGTTAGCAAAGAACTAAAAGAATAAATTTGTGTTTTGGAATTCATATGAAGCTTTCTTTTTTTTCCTAATTCCATTGAAGAAGTGAAGAATCTACTTTTGCAATTCAGGATTTTTCTGTGTAGCATAACCCTAGAACCAAGATGGCATACCCTAAACTACCAGCAATTACAGAATTATGTTATATGATTTCCATAACTGTTAACTTAAGCCCGTCAGCAACTCCCAATGAGTGCTTCTCATCACCATCCATCATCATCTACTTTCCTTTTAAAGTTTATCTTAAACATGCTATTTTTAGACCTTGGGCATCTGCATACAATCATATGTTTATGCTACTGATGCTACTGATACTCTTTGTTCCCGTCATGTTTTATTTCACTCCCATTTCTCACCCCCAGCTCTGTTTCTATGCCATAGACAACAATTTAAAATGTGTTTGATGTGTGTTATTTTACTCTTATGTTTTCATTTAGAAAATGTAATGTAGTTTTCTGTGTACATATTTTAAATGTTTCTAACTATATTATTTTTAACACTATATTCCTGTTGCTATGTGTACGTTTCATCATTTCATTCCCTGCAAAACCATCCTTCACATTTGGGTTTTATATTTGACAGTATTGGATATAATTATTATCTCCTACTCCCTGCAATCACACACATACTCACACACCCATCTGTAATAAATGTTCATAAATATAACCTCTTATGGAGCACTATGAAAATTTCTCTGTGGTTCATATCCAAGAGTGGGGTGGGCTGGTTCTTATGGTTAGAGCTTTATCAATTTGAATAAGCCTTGCTCTTCAGAATGCCTGGAGCAGTCTATATTCACATGAATAGTACATTGGGCTCATATCTATAACACTAATTATTATCCAGTTTTATAATTTGCTAAACTGTCTTAAAATATATATATTCTCTCTTGTTTTGTTTTGTTTTAGACAGTGTCTTGCCCTGTTGCCCAACCTGGAACAGTGGCGTGATCACAGATCACTGCAGCCTTGAACTCCCCAGCTCAAGCAATTCTCCCACCTCAGCCTCCCAAGTAGCTGGGACCACAGGTGTGCGCCACCATGCCTGGCTTTGTTTTTGTTTTTGTTTTTGCTTCTGTTTTTGTTTTTGTAGAGATGAGGTCTTCCTATGTCGCCCAAGCTGGTCTTGAACCCCAAGGCTCAAGAGATCCTTCTGCCTCAGCCTTCCAAAATGCTGGGATTACAGGCATGAGCCACTATGCCCAGTCAAAATACATATTTCTAATTATAAAACAGCTCTTCATATTTATGCAGTGAATTGGATTTCTTCTCAAGTTACTTGATGACACCTTTAGTTTACTTATTGAATAAGCTGTTGGTTTGTAGGACTCTCTTGTGTTTTCTTGATTTTAACCTTCTAACATTATTAGACATTTTGCATATTGTTTCCAACAGGTCATCTTTGTTATATTTGTTCCAGGTATTGTCCTTTTAACTGAATTGTTTTTATTTTAATGTATTAAATATGCCAATTTACTATGATGTAGCTTTCTTTAAAAAGATGTTCTTCTATACCACAATTCTCTTACCCTCATAGTTTTAACTTTCTAATTTAGATCTTTAATTTATCTTAAAGTAGACTGAAGTCTACTTTAATATGTTCCTCTGTGAGGATCCACATTTTATACAAACAATGGGGCATCATGCAGTTAAATTTCTCAAAGCACAAGTTATAAGTAGAAATCTGTATCTAATTGCCCTGGCCAGAACTTCCAACACTATGTTGAATAGGAGTGGTGAGAGAGGGCATCCCTGTCTTGTGCCCGTTTTCAAAGGGAATGCTTTCAGTTTTTGCCCATTCAGTATGATATTGGCTGTGGATTTCTCATAGATAGCTCTTATTGAGATACATCCCATCAATACCTAATTTATTGAGAGTTTTTAGCATGAAGCATTGTTGAATTTTGTCAAAGGCCTTTTCTGCATCTATTGAGATAATCATGTGGTTTTTGTCTTTGGTTCTGTTTATATGCTGGATTACATTTATGGATTTGCATATATTGAACCAGCCTTGCATCCCAGGGATGAAGCCCACTTGATCATGGTGGATAAGCCTTTTCATGTGCTGCTGGATTTGGTTTGCCAGTATTTTATTGAGGACTTTTGCATCAATGTTCATCAAGGATATTGGTCTAAAATTCTCTTTTTTGTTTGTGTCTCTGCCCGGCTTTGGAATCAGGATGATGCTGGCCTCATAAAATGAGTTAGGGAGGATTCCCTCTTTTTCTATTGATTGGAATAGTTTCAGAAGGAATGGTACCAGTTCATCCTTGGGGGCAATTAGGCAGGAGAAGGAAATAAAGGGTATTCAATTAGGAAAAGAGGAAGTCAAATTGTCCCTGTTTGCAGACGACATGATTGTATATCTAGAAAACCACGTTGTCTCAGCCCAAAATCTCCTTAAGCTGATAAGCAACTTCAGCAAAGTCTCAGGATACAAAATCAATGTACAAAAATCACAAGCATTCTTATACACCAATAACAGACAAACAGAGAGCCAAATCATGAGTGAACTCCCATTCACAATTGCTTCAAAGAGAATAAAATACCTAGGAATCCAACTTATAAGGGATGTGAAGGACCTCTTCAAGGGGAACTACAAACCACTGCTCAATGAAATAAAAGAGGATACAAACAAATAGAAGAACATTCCATGCTCATGGGTAGGAAGAATCAATATCGTGAAAATGGCCATACTGCCCAAGGTAATTTATAGATTTAATGCCATCCCCATCAAGCTACCAATGACTTTCTTCACAGAATTGGAAAAAACTACTTTAAAGTTCATATGGAACCAAAAAAGAGCCCACATCGCCAAGTCAATCCTAAGCCAAAAGAACAAAGCTGGAGGCATCATGCTACCTGACTTCAAACTATACTACAAGGCTACAGTAACCAAAACAGCATGGTACTGGTACCAAAACAGAGATATAGACAAATGGAAGAGAACAGAGCCCTCAGAAATAATGCTGCATATCTACAACTATCTAATCTTTGACAAACCTGAGAAAAACAAGCAATGGGGAAAGGATTCCCTATTTAATAAATGGTGCTGGGAAAACTGGCTAGCCATATGTAGAAAGCTGAAACTGGATCCCTTCCTTACACCTTATACAAAAATTAATTCAAGATGGATTAAAGACTTAAACGTTAGACCTAAAACCATAAAAACCCTAGAAGAAAACCTAGGCATTACCATTCAGAACGTAGGCATGGGCAAGGACTTCATGTCTAAAACACCAAAAGCAATGGCAACAAAAGCCAAAATTGACAAATGGGATCTAATTAAACTAAAGAGCTTCTGCACAGCAAAAGAAACTACCATCAGAGTGAACAGGCAACCTACAAAATGGGAGGAAATTTTCGCAACCTACTCATCTGACAAAGGGCTAATATCCAGAATCTACAATGAACTCAAACAAATTCACAAGAAAAAAACAAACAACCCCATCAAAAAGTGGGCAAAGGATATGAACAGACACTTCTCAAAAAAAAGACATTTATGCAGCCAAAAAACACATGAAAAAATGCTCATCATCACTGGCCATCAGAGAAATGCAAATCAAAACCACAATGAGATACCATCTCACACCAGTTAGAATGGCAATCATTAAAAAGTCAGGAAACAACAGGTGCTGGAGAGGATGTGGAGAAATAGGAACACTTTTACACTGTTGGTGGGACTGTAAACTAGTTCAACCATTGTGGAAGTCAGTGTGGCAATTCCTCAGGGATCTAGAACTAGAAATACCATTTGACCCAGCCATCCCATTAGTGGGTATATACCCAAAGGACTATAAATCATGCTGCTATAAAGACACATGCACACGTATGTTTACTGCGGCACTATTCACAATAGCAAAGACTTGGAACCAACCCAAATGTCCAACAATGATAGACTGGACTAAGAAAATGTGGCACATATACACCATGGAATACTATGCAGCCAGCCATAAAAAAGGATGAGTTCATGTCCTTTGTAGGGACATGGATGAAATTGGAAATCATCATTCTCAGTAAACTATCACAAGGACAAAAAAACCAAACACCGCATGTTCTCACTCATAGATGGGAATTGAACAATGAGAACACATGGACACAGGAAGGGGAACATCACACTCTGGGGACTGTTGTGGGGTGGGGGGAGGGGGGAGGGATAGCATTAGGAGATATACCTATTGCTAAATGACGAGTTAATGGGTGCAGCCCACCAGCATGGCACATGTATACATATGTAACTAACCTGCACATTGTGCACATGTATGCTAAAACTTAAAGTATAATAATAATAAAAAAAAGAAGAAAAGAAAAAGAAATCTATATCTATTAGAGGGTCTTGGACTAGACCAGGTAGCCAGCATTCACCTGCTTTTGTTTATTTGTTTGTTTTGTTATGTGTTTAAGACAGGGTCTTGCCCTGTTGCCCAGGCTGGAGTGCAGTCATGCTATTACAACTTATTGCAGCCTTGATATCCCGGGCTCAAGTAATACTACCACCTCTCGGCCTCCCAAGTAGCTGGAACAACAGGTGTGCACCACCACTCCTAGCTCATTTTTGTATTTTTTTTAGAGATGGAGTTTCACCATATTCCCGAGGCTGAACCCAAATTTCTGGGCTCAGGCCATCTCCCTTCCTTGGCCTCCCAAAGTGCTGAGATTATAGGTATGAGTCAATGTGGCCAGCCTTGACTATTTATTTATTTGTTATAAAATATATTGTCAGTTTATTACAACCCCTTGCTAGACTACGGAATTTTTTAGAAGAGTTAAGTATTAATTTTGAAACTGAACACTGAGAGCAAGTTTAAAATAGTACAAATTAACATGAAAATCCATAATACCCAAAAATTCTGTATCATTTTTAAACTAGAAAATTAAATGCTAGGGCTGGTTACTCACATTGTACAATTTCCTAAGTTAAAAAAAAGAAGCCTTACCTGTAAGTGTCAAAATTATAGAACATTCCAATATCCATGCAACTACTTTTAACCTCATCTAACCTTCAATAAAACTGATGATTTCAGTGTATACATGTTTAAGATGGAAGTTCCTATCTAATATAAATGAGATAATTTTGAGAAGAATTTGATGACAGGCAGAAGAGCATATTCGTATTTTAAAAGTCTGAAACAAAATTATAGATGGTATGGGAAAGTTATGTGTTACTCATGAGTGAGAACATAAGAAGCATATTTGTCAGATTGTTTTACATGTTGCCACTCCAAGTTGTTTAGATTGTTTTAGATGGTGAGCTCAAAACTATTAAAGGATGTAGCAGCATTTGAACCCAAGAATATGAGAATTAGTCTGTCAGCCTGTGGAAAAAGGTTTACATGGACCACTTAAAACAGCATGGCAAGATAAATATACACATAACTAAATAAAAGTCTACTTATCAATATTTTTTATTAAAAGTATGGCATGCCAGGGAAATTTTTAGGTGATAGGGAAACAGAATTTTATGAACACATGTAATTCTTATCACAAAAAAAAGTATCTTCTTCTACTTTGGGAGAAATAGACAATAGATACATAGTCATACACTAGTCACCTAGTCGTGATTTTTGCAAAACGAAATGAGGGTTTATACCACAAAGACCTTAGAAAACATTCACTGATAAAATATAGCCCTAAACCAGTTGAAACCACCATCTTTGTTTCTGAAATCCACAACTATACAAAAGTCTATCTGTTAATGTTTGATAGCTAATTAATATGGGAAGCAATTTCTTCTTTGCCTTAGATTCCATTCAAAACTTGATAAGAAGAAAAAAAAAACTTGACAGAAATAAAGGATGGGGTTCAGAGTCAGACTGTTCAACGACTGAAAAATTAGCAAGACTTGGATCCTTACAAAGTCCAAAGACTATCTTACTAATTCAGCGCCACATTTGCAATATAGACATTTCAACTGGTCCACTTGATATTAATCCAAAATTGCTGGTATCTCAGACAGATATTTTCTCAATCTATAGTGAAAAGGCTAATAAATTGAGAATTAATTTATAGCCTTAATCTCTTTAACTTTCACTGATTCAATGGTAGCTCTTATCACTGCTTAAGGAAAGCTCAAGTCAAAACACAACCACCAAAGTCAGTGAAAACAAGTTTTGACAAAAAGAATATCTTTAACTTTGATGCCTCTTGCTGAACCAGATGAATTATCCAATCCAAAATTGTCACATATTTCTGAGCCTTATTTATTCAATGATTCCAGCGTGATAGAACAAGTTTGTTTTTATTGTCTGACCACAGTAAATTGTTTAATTTATCTTATTTCCCTTCTTTGCATTAGCTGCTATACAGAACACACCCAAATTTGCAGCTTAATTCAAGCAAGAGTAAAACAAAAGAAAAGCAAATTACGGCATATTTTTCTGTACTAATCTCAAATTTCCCTTGTTTTTTTATTTTCTAATTTTGCAATACATGTCTCAATTTTCAAAATAATGTATAATACAATCATCTATTTATTTTTTTAAATAGTTCTGGAAAGAGTACCAGATGAAGAAGTAAAGAAAGACAGGTTGAAATTGTGGTATTTTAAATCATATTAGATGATATTTAAGGTCAGCCTTAAGAATGATATGTAAAATTATTTTAGAAGAGTTTTTCCTGGGGTGAAATTTCCTATGAAAAGGCTTTATTAAATATGTCTATAATTTTTCTGCCAGAGTAGCTGATTTAATTGAAGTCTCATTTTAAAAGTAATTTATGGAACAAATGTATTTTCCTTTATCCCTATTCTTATTTGACTAATTAGCACAGTTCTTAGTTTTTACACTAATTAAAAACAGTTTGTATTTAGAGCCAAAAAATGAATATAGATAAAATTCTTTTTTCTCAGACTATAGAGAAAATTTAATATTAATAAAAATATGCAAAAGTTACTGATTTCTTCAATATTATGTTTACAACAGAGCAAATGTTTCTATTGTTTACTTTGTAATGTTACCACCAACAGCCTTATAAGATAAGCTGATTTATCACATTTCTGTCTCTTAATCCTTCAAATCTAATTTTGGAGATATCAGTATTTGAGTTAATTTCAGAAAGGATACATAAAGCCGATTTCAGTTTTTCCTATAAGACAAAACTTTTTCTAAGAGATGAGGCAATTTAATTATTCCCAATTGCAATCATTTTTCTAAGTCTTCTTAAAATCTTGAGAATGTGTTTTGCTAAGTTTGGTGGGTATTTTTTAGCTTGGCATTGACCATTATCATGAAACAATGTGAATCTCATCAACACAAGTAATTGAAGAGATTGTAGTTGGTAAATTAATGAACAAATTACTTTGGCTGATTTACAAAATGACCATTATTTGGCTCTCTTGAATATTTTATAAATAAATGCCTAAGGTTTCTGACTTTTTTTTAAATGTTTTCTTTAGATGTTTGATATTATGTAAAAATGCCTGTAAGCTAAGAGGTTTGGGCAGTTCACAAAAGGGGCCAAAGATTTCTTTGTGGTAATAGAAAACCCATCATTTTTCCTAACACTACATATTCCCTTTTAATTCTGCTTCTAGTATACATGATAGCACAAGAGGATCTACCCTTAACCTCCTGCTGTAAAAAGATTGGTCTCAGCCAGCCACAGTGGCTCATGCCTGTAATCCCAGCACTTTGGGAGGCCAAGGTGGCCAGATAGCCTGAGGTCAGGAGTTGGAGACCAGCCTGACCAACATGGAGAAAGTCCATCTCTACTGAAAATACAAAATTAGCCGGGCGTGGTGGCACATGTCTGTAATCCCAGCTACTCGAGAGGCTGAGGCAAGAGAATCGCTTGAACCCAGGAGGCAGAGGTTGTAGTGATCCGAGATCGTGCCATTGCACTCCAGCCTGGGCAACAAGAGTGAAACTCCATCTCAAAAAAAAAAAAAAAAAAAAAAAAGGTTGTCTCTTTCTTTATTTAACCTTTCTATCATGATCTGACATATTTAGTATCTTACCCTTAATGCATTAACAGTTTAGGTTGAATGACTTCTGAAGTTTACGGGATACGTACAATGTTCCAAGTGCTGGTATACCATAATTTTCACACTTGTTATGAAAGTGGTATTACTATTAGCCACATTTTTTAGGTGAGGGAACTGAAGCACAGAGAGTTTGGGTTGTGAACATGCCAAAAGGTGACAGAGATTTGGTTCCAGGCTACAGGAGGGATATCCTATTTTATCATCTCTCTTTGATTTCTACCCCCGCAGATAAATTGCCATTTTGGTCATTCGCTTGGGTGATCTACAATCTGTAGCTCGCAGACAAGTACTGCAGAGCCTCCTCCCTTAAACCTGCTTCCATGAGCCTTGGATTCTCTATCCAATTCTTGTCCAGTGCTTCAATCCTACTTTTTTATTTCCTTTTTATTTTTATTTATTTATTTTTTTTTTTCTGAGACGGAGTCTCGCTCTGTCGCCCAGGCTGGAGGGCAGTGGCACAATCTCGGCTCACTGCAACCTCCGCCAACTGGGTTCATGCCATTCTCCTGCCTCAGCCTCCTGAGTAGCTGGGACTACAGGCACCCGCCACCATGCCCGGCTAATTTTTTGTATTTTTAGTAGAGATGGGGTTTCACCATGTTAGCCAGGATGGTCTCCATCTCCTGACCTTGTGATCCACCCACCTCAGCCTCCCAAAGTGTTGAGATTACAGGCGTGAGCCACAGTGCCTGGCCCTATTTCTTATTTATATTAAAGAATGATTAAGAATTTTTAGTGAAATCAAGCTAGAAGAAGCACAAAAGTTCCCAACTCTGCCAGTTTCCTTTTCAAAATTGATAGATATGAAATTATGGCATATGCAGAGAGGCTGTTTCAAACCTAAGTAAGTATATAGGAGATGCATACCAGAGATAGAAAATGAAGAAGCCTCTATCTGAAGATGTAAAAAGGTAAAAGAAATTTGCTCAAAATTACTAAAACTTTCAGTGGTTTAGCAAGACTATTTCATTCTCTGTTTACGTGAATTTCACCCACATACATCTTTGTTCTGTTCTTTATCCATCATACTGAAGTTATTCTCTTTCTGCCTGTACTCAGGTGTTTTTGTCAAAGTGGACTTGGATAACTTTGAAATTACTGGTATAAAGATTTTGCTTTGCTGTGACTAAAAGAATAACAGAAACTAGGCTACCTTCTTTTTGGTTCTACATGAAGTAATTTAAAATATCTCCAAAAGTAACACTATTAAAAGGGAAACAATATTCAAGTAATGTAATTCTAGGCAGTTATTAGCCCCTAGAGGACACAAACCATGGCTTCTGAATCTATTTATAAGCGGTGTTATCTTGCATAATATGCCAACCACTGTTGACCATTTAATGAATAGTTGTGGAGTAGGTGAATTTAATAACCTTACAATTACCTAGCTGTGATGATTGTTGCCCTAAATTTAAACTCCAAAAAGATATATTGCTAATGAGAATTTACATTGTGCAAAATTAGAATGGCTAGTGATGATGTGTAATTGTTATGAATCTTAGTTTGCACACTTGGTTGGGTACAACACACATTAAAAAAAATCCTCTATATTTTAAGGCCTCACCCAATGTTCTGTAGAAAACACAACCTAAATTAAACTTATATGGTATTATTTCATTGAGAAGTACAATCCCGCAGAAAGAGAAATGGGAGGGGGACGGAAAACAAAGTGTGGCCAGAAAGGATGGAGACCACACAGAAAAGAGTGTATTAGGAAACTGATTGTTCTTCATATCAAGCACAGCTGATCACTTGGCCTTCAATGATGTCTTCATTGAGGCATTATTAACTGCTGCTTTGTAGAACAGTTCATGGAGAGGAGGAGAAAAAGGAAATTCATCGTCTTGATTTTTCCTGTTATGCTAGACAGTTTCTTTAGCCAAAAGCATAGATTTTCTCCAAGTTCAGAAATGATAGGAAGAACCAATAACATGGCGGTTTAGTTTATCAGTCTGGTGCTTGTCTCTAAGTCTGTGGGTCTTGAACGGTTGTGCCTAAGGATTCTCAGAAGTCACATACAAATGGTCACCTATTACTTGTTGCATTAATTTATGAAATAGTGGCTACATGGTCCAGGACTCAGGAATTATTGTAGCAATACCGAAGATAGAAGTCTTAGGAGTAAGGAGGGAAGTGAAGCAGGTAGGGAAGATGGCAGCGCTGAGAGAATCAAGAAACACATAAGAGATGCCTAATACATGCAACTTAATTTTAGTTTGAGTCAGAACATTATGTATCTATTGCTGAATAACTATTAGCTTAGAGGATGCCAGCAAAAGTGGTAGAGTGGGCAGCTTCAATGGCCCATCACTCCACAGAAACTTCAAAAAAATCAAGCAAAAATGATCAGAATCAACTTTATCGGAATTCTGAAAAACAAAGGATTACCGCCAACAAGTAAATGCTTAATAAATAAAAAGGCAACATAAAAATGATAAGAAAGCTATGTGGCACTTTTATTTTCCCTTGTTCTTCTTGACAGTTTGATGATGGTCTTGAAGATGGCAGCCAGTGTTCCCAGTGTAAACTCTGGTATCTGGTTTCAAAGAGAGGAGAGGAGACCTCAAGGACAAATAATTGTATTTATCTGTTCTAACCAGCCTGGTGCTAGCCAAAAATTACTTACTCAGGCATTTGTCTTTATTTCACCTAACATGAAATTCACTCAGGGTGGAAAAGCAGCAGGTGTTCCTTTAAAACTTCTTAAGGCAAACAACCCTCAGATCAAGGAGGAAAAGGTTATGGTTGAGATATATAACAGACCTCCTCAAGCCTCATAGGAAAATCTGGGGAGAGAGTTTCTTTGGAAAATAAGAACATTAAAAATACTCTTTGTATTCTGGGAAACTTAGGAAGCCAAATACACACCCAAGGCAAGAGGCAAGCTTAGAAAAAACTGAGAAGATTCCAAACTTTCAACTCTGTCTGATCTCTGAGACTTACTGAAAGACAAAGTGAAAGATAAGACATAGTTGAAAATGGCCTGGCTAAGTGTTGAAAAAGTATGCAAACACCATGCCAATCTAGAAAGAAAAGCAGATATTTTTCTTTTACTTATTTATATTTTTAAATCATTCTCTTCCCTCTCTATCTCTTCCTCTGGCATTTAAGAAAATCCCTGTCAAAATGTTGACTGATTATACGATAAGGAGCAGAGACTCTAGGGACCATGAAAATAACACAGTTTTTTAAAAACTGTTTGGAAAAGTCACGAAGCAAATAGCTACAGCCCACAACAGACAAATCAAAAAACAAGGCTGAAGAGAACAATCTGAATTTCAGAACCATATTAAAATATTCGACATCCAAGTTACAAACAAAATATATGAAGCATGCAAAGGAATAACAAAATATATCCCATTCAAAGAAGAAATTTAAAAAACTGCCCCTGTGGAAGCACAGACATTGTTAGTATGACACAGAGTTTAAAGAGCTGAAGGAAAGCATGGACAAAGACCTCAAAGAGATAAAAGAAACCAGGAGAACAATATGTGAGCAAATAAAATATATAAACTATTAAAAGGAACCAATAGAAAGACCAGTCTTGTTTCAATGAGAAGACTACGAAGGCTTGAAAAAACCATAGTTTTAGAGGTGACTACCCAGTCAACACTTTTCTGAAGGATTAGAAATTAAGTCTCAGTAAATTTAAGGTTGCTTCCTCTTTCACCTAGGTTGTGGCTAAATTTCATGGATCCAAGCTATATGGTGGATTTGGCCCCTGATATGGTTCGGCTCTGTGTCCCCACCTAAATCTCTTATGTAATCCCCATATGTCAATGGAGGGGCCTGATGGGAGGAGACTGGATCATGGGGGTGGTTTCCTCCATGCTGTTCTTAAAATAGTGAGCTCTCACAAGATCTGATGGTTTGAAAGTGTTGCAATTACCCTCCTCCTATTGCCATGTAAGATATGCTTACTTCCTGTTCCATCATGATTGTAAGTTTCCTACGACCTCCTAGCCATGCTTCCTGTTAAGCCTGGGAAACTGTGAGTCAATTAAACCTGTTTTCTTTATAAATTACCCAATTTCAGGTATTTCTTTGTAGTAATGTGAGAACAAACTAACAGAGACAATTGGTATTGAGAAAAGGGGGCATTGCTAGAAAGATACCTGAAAATGTGCAAGTGAATTTGGAACTGGGTAATGGGCAGAGGCTGAAACAGTTTGGAGGGCTCAGAAGAAGACAGGTAGATGAGAGAAAGTTTGGAACTTCCTAGAGACTTGTTGAATAGTTGTGACCAAAATGCTGATAGTGACATGAACAATGAAGTCCAGGCTTAGGTGGTCTCAGATGGAGGTAAGAAACTTTTCGGGAAGTGAAGCAAATGTGACTCTAACTATGCTTTAGCAAAGAGAATGACAGCATTTTGCTCCTGCCCTAGAGATCCATGGAACTTTGAACTTGAAAGAGATGATTATCTGGTGTAAGAAATTTCTAAGCAGCAAAGCATTCAAGATTAAATCTGTTTTTTTCTAGATGTGTATTTTTACATGCATGAAGAAAGAGATAGCCTGAAATTAGAACTTACGTTTAAAAGGGAAGAAGAGCATAAAGGTTTGGAAAATTTGCAGCCTGATCATGTGATAGAAAAGAAAAACCCATTTTCTAGTGAGAAATTCAAGCCAGCTGCAGAAATTTGCATAAGTAACAAGGAGCTGAATGTTAATAAAAAAGACAATGGGGAAAATGTTTCCAGGGCATTTCAGAGATCTTTATGTCAGCCCCTTCCATCACAGACCCAGAGGCCTAGGAGAGAAAAATGGTTTAATGGGCTGTGCCCCGGCCCTGCTACTCCCTGCACACTAACAACATGGCACCCTGTGTCCCAGCCACTCTAGCCATTGCTAAGAGGAGCCAAGGTATAGCTGAGGCTGTTGCTTCAGAGGGGGCAAGCTGCAAAAATTGGCAGCTTCTATGTGATGTTTGGCCTGTGGGTACACTGAAGACAAGGGTTGAGGTTTGGGTACCTCCACCTAGTTTTCAAAGGTTGTATGGAAATACCTGGATGTCCAGGGAGAAGTCTGCTGCAGGGGCAGAACCTTCAAGAACCTCTACTAGGGCAATGCAAAGGGGAAATGTAGGGTTGGAACCACCACACAGAGTCTCCACTGGGGCACTGCCTAGTGGAGCTGTGAAAAGATGCCCACCATCCTCCAGACCCCAGAATGATAGACTCATTGACAGCTTGCACCATGCAACTGGAAAAGCTACAGGCACTAATGCCAGCCTGTGAAAGCAACTGTGGAAGCTGTACCCTGCAGAACCACAAGGGAGGAGGTACCCTAGGCCTTGGGAGCCCACCTCTTGCATTTGTGTGCCTTGAATGTGAGACTTGGAGTCAAAGGATATTATTTTAGAGCTTTAACATTTAAAGACTTCCCTGTTGGGTTTCAGACTTGCACAGGGCCTGTAACCCCTTTGTTTTGGCTAATTTCTCCCACTTGGAATGGGTGAATTTACCCAATGCCTGTATCCCTATGGTATCTAGGAAGTAACTAATTTGCTTTTGATTTTACAGGCTCATAAGCAGAAAGGGCTTGTCTTGTCTCAGATGAGACTTTGTACTTGGATTTTTGAGTTAACGCTAAAATGAGTTAAGACTATGAGGGACTGTTGAGAAGGCATGATTATATTTTGAAATGTGAGAAGGACATGAGATTTGGGATGGGCCAGGGGTAATATGATATGGTTTGGCTATGTATTCCCACTTAAACTTCACCCTGAATTGTAATACCCATGTGTTGAGGGAGGGCTGTGGTGGGAGGTGATCGGACTGGGGACACAGTTTCCTCCATGCTGTTCTCATGATAGTGAGTTCTCATGAGATCCGATGGTTTAAAAGTGTGGCACTTCCCCCCTCTCACTGTTTCTCCTGCCACTTGTAAGATGTGTTTGCTTCCTTTTCCTCTTCTGCCATGATTACAAGTTTTCTGAGGCCTCCTTAGCCATGCTTTTTGTTAAGCCTGCAGAACTGTGAGTCAGCTACACAGCTTTTTAAAAAAATAAATAAATTACCCAGTCTCAGTTAGTTCTTTATAGAAGTGTGAGAATGGACTAATACAACCCTTTCCCTTCTTTGTTGATGCCTAATGGCCACTGCAGAGATAGACTTCAGGAACTCCACTTGGCTTCCTTAGGTGCTGCTCTACTCTTCTACTGCTTATAGGCTACCATTGTTCATTGCAATTGTTCTATTCTTATAAGCTACACTAGATTATGCAAAACATTCTGAGATTCCTTAGGCTCCATCTGGATACAACATCTAGTTATAGTCTCTCAAAAATCTTACACCTTCCTAACTGCAAGGCATAGATGTCCTCTGCATTCAAATAATATGATTACTTGTCTTCTTGAGGACTTGGTCCAAAAATGAGCAAGTATTCTCTCTCTGGGGATAACCAATTCTATTTCCCCATCCTTTGCCTGGCAAGTTTCATCTTCCTTAAAAATACACAATCCACTACTAAGCTGGTGAGAGGAAATCTTTTTTAACTTATTATTTTTCCAAATACCTTGACATGAGTCATTTTATACTCCTTAATGGATAAAGTCTTTTTTAAATTCTGAAGTCAAGATGAGACCCTTTTTAAATATCTACTTTGTAAACATTTCATTTTTCGCTGAATTGTTTGCCCCAATTATAAGACCAAGTTATTACTTGATTAAGAAAGAAGAAAGAGGAGATTGTTTTAGTTGTATATTGTTGTGTAATAAATTATTACACAATTTAGTGCTTTATTAGACTAACTGTGAATGAGGAATCTGGACCCAGTTTTGGCAGGTCTCCTAATTCAGTGTCTCTCATAAGGCTACAGGCAAGTCAGTCTGAACATCTGACTGGGGAAGGACATTTCCACGATTACTTATGTGGTTGCTGGTAGCATATACTCTCTCAAGAACAATTTGACTCTAGGCTTCAGTTTCTTACTAGCTATTGGTCAGAGGCACTCTCAGTTCCTTGTCACATGGGCCTACCCATCATGATCACATTTTCCATCACAGCCAGCAAAAGACATAATTTGCTACCAACATAAAAATTACAATTTCTGTAGTCTAATTATAAAGTTACACTTCATCACTTTGCCATATTCTACTTGTTAAAATCTATTCGATAGGCTAGGCTGTACTCAAATAAAGGAAATTTCACAAGAGTATGAATACCAGGATGTGGATATCATTGGGAGCCACCTTGAAGTCTGCTGTCACAGTAGTGAACAGGCTTCATTTAAAAAAAAAAAAAATCCACAAATATTTTTATGGACCAACAGGTTCATATGCCTGCTGCACAATAACAGAGACAGCAGAGTTTGTAGCAGAGAAAAAGTTTAGTGATAGTAGGGGGGCTGAGAGAGGAGATGGGAAGGACACTCTAATCCATCTCCCCAAGGAGTGCTGCAATGGGGTTTAGGGGAGATTTATATGGTTTGGCTACATCCCTACCCAAAACTCATCTTAAATTGTAGTTCTCAGAATCCCAACGTGTTTGTGGGAGGGACCTGTTGGGAGGTAATAGAACCATGGGGGCAGTTACTTCCATGCTGCTGTTCTTATGATAGCGAGTGAGTTCTCACAAAATCTTATGATTCTATAAGGGGCTTTTTCCTCTTTGTTTGGCACTTCTCCTTCTTTCTACCATGTGAAGAAGGACATCTTTGCTTCCCATTCTGCCATGATTGTAAGTTTGCTGAGGCCTCACCAGCCATGCTGAACTGTGAGTCACTTAAACCTCTTTCCTTTATAAATTACCCAGTTTGGGATATGCCTTTATTAGCAGCATGAGAACAGACTAATACACTAAATTGGCCCTGAGAGAGTGAGTTGCTGCTATAAGGATACCCACAAATGTGGAAACAACTTTGGATCTGGATAACAGGAAGAGGTTGGAACAGTTTGCAGGGCACAGAAGAAGACAGAAAAAGTTGGAAAGTTTGGAACTTCCTAGAAACTTGTTGAATGGCTTTGCAATGCTAATAGTCCAGGGTGAGGTGGTCTCAGATGGAGATGATGAACTTGTTGAAAACTGAAGTAACGGTCACTCTTGCTGTGCTTTAGGAGATCTGTGGAACTTTGGACTTAGAAGATTTAGGGTATCTGGCAGAAGAAACTTCTAAGCGGCAAAGTATTCAAGAAGAAACACAGCATAAAAGTTTGGAAAATTAGCACCCTGATCAGTGCAATGGAAAAGAAATACCCATTTTCTGGGGATAAATTCAAGCCCACTGCAGAAATTTGCATAAGGAATGATGAATAGAATGTCACCAGACAATGGGGAAAATGTCTCCAGGGCATGTCAGATAACTTCATGGCAGCCTCTCCCATCAGAGGTCTGGAGGCCTAGATAGGAAAAATGGGTTTCTGGGCTGGGCCCAGGGCCCTCCTGCTCTGTACAGCCTCAGGAAATGGTGCCTTGCATTTCAGCTGCTTCAGCTTTAGCCGAGGCTAAAAGGGGCCAAGGTATGGCTCAAGACATTGCTTTGGAGGGTGCAAGTCCCAAGCCTTGCCAGCTTCCATGAGGTGTTGAGCCTGTAGGTGCACAGACGTCAAGAACTGAGGTTTGGAAACCTCCACCTAGATTTCAGAGAATGTATGGAAATGCTTGGATGTCCAGGCAAAAGTTTGCTGCAGGGGTGGAGCCCTCATGGAGAACCTCTGCTAGGGCAGTATGGAAGGCAAATGCTAAGTTGGAGCCCACACAGAGTACTCACTGGGGCACTGCCTAGTGCAGCTGTGAGAAGAGGTCTAACATCCTTCAGAACCCAAAATGGTAGATCCACCAACAGCTTGCATCATGCACCTGGAAAAGCTGCAGGCACTCAACACTAGCCTGTGAAAGCAGCCAGGAGGGGGCTGTACCCTGCAAAGCCACAGAGGCAGAGCTGCCCAAGGCCATGAGAGCCCACCTCTTGCATCAGCATGACCTTGATGTGAGACATGGAACCAAAGGAGATAATTTGGAACTTTAAGGTTTAACTGCCCTATTGGATATCAGACAAGCATGATGCCTGTAGCTCCTTTGTTTTGGCAAATTTGTCCCATTTGGAACAGATGTATTTACCCAAAGCCTGTACCTCCATTTTATCTAGGAAGTAACTAATTTGCTTTTGATTTTACAGGCTCATAGGTGGACTTTGGAGTTAATACTGAAATGAGCTAAGACTTGGGGTTTTGAAATGTGAGTGCATGAGATTTGGGAGGGGCCAGGAGTGTACTGATATGTTTCGGCTATGTCTCCACCCAAATCTAATCTTGAATTGTACTTCCCATAGTCCCCACGTGTCATGGGAGGGATCTGGTGGGAGGTAATTGAATCATGGGGATGGTTACCCCCATGCTGTTCTCATGACAGCGAGTGAGTTGTCATGAGATCTGTTGGTTTTATAATGGGCTTTTCCCACTTTGCTTGACACTTTTCTTTCCTTCTACCATGTTTGCTTCCCCATCCGCCATGATTGTGAATTTCCTGAGGCCTCCCAGCCCTGCAGAACTGAGTCAATGAAACCTCTTTCCTTTTTAAATTATCCAGTCTCCAGTATGTTTTTATTAGCAGTGTGAGAACAGACTAATACAGGGATCATGGATGGAAAGAGTCTGGAAAATTGGGGTTCCTGACTGGTTGAGTTAAGGGGGATGAAGTTATTAGGATGTGGAAACTGCATTTTTTAGTGAGTCAGCTTCTTATCAGGTCCTTCATATCAGCAGATGTCAGTAGTTTAACTAAGAGTCAGGACCTCAAAGAATATCTGAAATGGGAAACTTAATGTTTCACAATGCTTAAGTCGTTATGTATAGGGCAGTTAAAGAAAACTATAACCTTGCAACAAGGCTGATATGATTCTGAAGCAATTGGAAGCAAATAACTATGAGGAAGCAGGTCAGAGAGCAAGCCGGCCTAATAAGTAATGCTGAATGTGCTTCAAGCTTGGTTTATTTTTCTCTGCCTCCCTTCTTCGCTAATTAATTTTACAAAGTTTATAAGGACGATTTCAACATTTGAAAATTATTTTTCACAATGGATATGTTAAAGGTGGAAGGCTGCGGTGAGAAGAATAACAGCTGGTCAAATATTTCTACATCCTAATCCCTGAAAGCTGTGAATATATCACATGATAAGAGGGAATTTAGATTGCAGAAATAATTAAGGTGGCTAAGCCAGGTGCAGTGGCTCACTCCTGTAATCCCAGCACTTTGGGAGGCCGAAGTAGGCAGATCACAAGGTCAAGAGATCGAAACCATCCTGACCAAAATGGTGAAACCCCATCTCTACTAAAAATACAAAAATTATCTGAGCGTGGTGGTGCATGCCTGTAGTCCCAGCTACTCAGGAGGCTGAGGCAGGAGAATCACCTGAACCTGGGAGGCAGAGTTTGCAGTGAGCTGGGATCGTGCCACTGTACTCCAGCCTGGTAACAGAGCAAGACTCTGTCTCAAAAAAAAAAAAAATTATAGTGACTAATAAGATGAAGTTAAGATAGATTATCCTGGATAATCCAAATGAGCCCAATGTAATCGGAAGGGTATTTAAAAGATGGTAGAAGCAGAAGAGTCAATGTCAGGGTGGTATAGTGTGAGAAAGACTTGCTCATCCATAAATGGCTTTGAAAATTGAATGGGGCCACAAGAAAAGAAAAGTGGGCAGTCTTTTGGAGCTGTAAAAGGTGAGAAAACATGTTTTTCCCCCAAAGACTTTGGAAGAAACTCAGTTCTTCCACTGCTTTGATTTTATTCCAGTGAAACTCATCCTAAACTCCTGACCTCCAGAAATGTAAGATGAAAAACTTGTGTTGTTTAAGCCTTAAGCTTTAAGGCACCAAATGTATGGTAATTTGTTACATCAGCAAATGGGAAAAAGATACAGAGGTGATTTGCCAGTTTTCTAATGGGGAAAAACAATAAGAAAATGCTAAATTAGGCAATATAGACATAGATTTAAATATTTAGATTTATGATAAGAATATATATGTATATATGATTATGTGCATGTGTGTGTGAATGATGAGAGATTAAGGTTAGATAAACACAAAGTTTGTGTAGATGTTATAATTTAATTTTTTTAAGTGGCAGGTTTTCACTCTGATGCCTAGGGTAGAAGTAGGGTTCATTGACATGATCACAGTTCACTGCAGCCTTGAACTCCTGGGTCAAATCGGTCCTCCTACCTTAGACTCCTAAGTAGCTAGGACACCAGGTGTGCACCACCATGTCTGGCTTCATAAAAAAATTAAGTCACATTAAATAGGCCCAATATAAACACAGAGCCTAATTTTAAATCATTACAACTAATTAACATTTATTTTAGCCTTTCTGAAATAAGTTTGAAATGGTAGAAATTATATTTATTAAATAAATCAAAATAATGCCTTTAAAAATGTGATCAAAATTTGCTCTCATAACTTCATCTGTTTTTAATCACAGGTTTTTAATCACTGCTTCAGCCACTCAGGGAAATTTTCACTTCAACGGGGTTACTATGCTAAGTGACTTTGGCTTAGCACCAATTAACAAATGAGCCTACTTCCTAGTACATTTCTAATTTTCTGAATTTTCCTGTATTTTAAAAATTTCTATTAATTCATTTATAATCATCACCCCCATTCAGCTTCAAAAACTTGGAACTGTCATGCCTCGATGTTAGAGAATAATATCCTACACTTGTTTTAAGAGGAAAACCACGTGTTATTAATAGCAACTGGAAGCTGACAACATATATTATGCATTGGGGATTAGACTTAATTTACAAAGCTCAGGAACTCCAAAGAAAATGTGTGAATTTATAGCATTTGGGTATTGAGCTATATTTCTAAATTTTATGATGTTCCAAGGGGACTTCCTTCTTTCTAATATAAAACATCTGTGAAATTTTTAAGAAAAGTTTTAGCATAGTCTATGAGCAACACCCCCTTGGGGTATGATAAAAATTAATTATAATGTACCATAGTTAAGAATACAATAAATTTATTGCAATTAAATTTACTGAAGAAAATTTACCTGTATGCTACTGTACAGATGACAAAAGGTCTTTCTACATATTATTTTTATGTCATAGAATCTAGAATTGTTAATTCATGATGAAGACAGTTTTCTAAAACAATACTTGTGTTATTAGCCATACTCATGTGTTTATACTGCTTTTGATAAAGTAAATAACATTCAAAGTAAATAATATTCAATGGTACTTGTTAAAGCATGGTAAGGAAGATTTTCCTCAGAACCACTGAGATAGGTGGAGGAACAACTATAACAGAGTCTTGAAGTGTGGGAGAGAGATTGGGCCTAGCTGCAAAACAGCATGGGCAAATGGAAATTTATAGCTAACTAGCATTGTGGAAATCAATAGATGGAAAATTACTAAGACCAAACAGAAGTAAGGGGGATTTTGCCTAAACTCACCTAACAGGATTCTTGCTGAAGCTAGGCCAGGGTGATCAGTCATCACCTGAGAAATGGTGGAGGATTAGAATCCCATTCAGACATTGAGGGTAATCAGATATCAAGGGTGAAGAGTTCTTGTCAAACTACCTTAGTAGCATTCTTTACCAAA
The DNA here is from genome assembly GCF_000001405.40 of Homo sapiens. Classification (NCBI taxonomy): domain Eukaryota; kingdom Metazoa; phylum Chordata; class Mammalia; order Primates; family Hominidae; genus Homo; species Homo sapiens. The sequence goes on along the minus strand of NC_000013.11, from coordinate 81,542,587 downwards.
ACTGAATTTTATAAGGAAGTACATATACAGAGTTAGAAAAAGGTTCAGAAGCTTGACTAAACTATGGCCATGCAACGAATCCTTGTCACTTTGAGCTCTGTAGGATATTTATGTACACAGGGAATTATAGAATGTCAGATTTAAAGAGTCTTTAATGATCACGCAGGCCAGTGTACTCATTTTCCAGTTAAGGAACCAAATCCTATGAAGATTATAAAAGGTACATAAATTTACATAGTGAATTTTTAGTAGGGTGAATATGCAACCCAGCTACTAATCCCCAAGCTAAGTCCCTTTTCATTCTCTATACCATTTTTTAAAACCACTCACCTATCTCAAGACATTAATGAGGATCCTGGCACACTGACATAAAAATCTATTAGAAACAAATACTTAAAAACTTTATTGTTTGTAATGCAATCCCGTTACAGGAAAAAATTCACTGACATATTACATATTTTGTAAAGGAAACAAGTATGTTGTGCCCTGGTTTGCTTGCGGCAATTCTAATTTGCTCCTATGATTCCAGCCTAAATATTAGAGACTTTTATTTTTGTCAGTCAAGCAGGATGCAAAGCCATCAGCTGAGTGTCAAAATAGCATTGTGAGGATGATAAAGGAGAAATGATAAAATAGTATTTATACATAGTAAGAAAATAAATTTTCTAAAGACACAGCATAAGATCAACAGGCAATTTCAAGTACTTATTTGAGGCATGTTATTATTAATTTAAAGTTAAACCAGTGAGACTGTTTGTGTTTTTGTCTCTAGCAAAATTCACCTGCTTGGGTAAAGCATACAGAAAATAGTTTGTTTTGCTTTTGATTGTGGTCCACCAGTTAAGTGTGATGGTAGGAGAGAGGGGGTTGTTGTTTGAAGACATCTGCAATAGTTTAACTATAAAGAACAATCCACAGAATCAAATGTGGGAGAAAGAGAAAATGTATAAGGTCAGTGCAGTGGATATTTAGATGCCGGAGTGATGACCGAGGAGTGTTGCAGAAGTGAAGGGAAGGAATGGGAGGCAGTCATCTGGGAGATTCATAAACAGTGAACTTACCTGTGATCACAGAAGCGTGGCTATAGGAATTAATAAATATGAACCAGGAGCTTAAGTGAGGAGCATGTGTGACACTGAAGAAGTAGGAAGGGCTAAGAAGTCTACACCTGACAGCAGAGCAGAGAGGGTTTGACAGAGCACTGTTGAGATAGAACACCAAGTCCACACCACACAGCCCCTTCCTTCTGGCTCTGAGGCTAAGTAACAGTAAAAACAGGTTCCTCTGAGAATGCTAGAGACAGGAGATATCATGAGGAGCAGCTGTTAACAAAGGCTGGAAAGTGTAGAGAATATTCAGAGAAGAGGTTAACACAGTGTAGAGATCACTGCTAGCAGTTACGGGGTTCCCAATGGCAGAAAGGAAAGTAGGGGTTGGCTGGATTTTGAGGATTATAAAAATCATGATAATGATATGTAATAATTCTGCAACTATACAAATCTCAGTGAAATGGGATATTCCCACACAGAACACTGTATTTAGTTAGGCAAGAACTATAAAATTATGTCCAACACTAAACATCATATAGTTTATTTGTAGACTAGCACACCCCCTGCTGGCTCTCAAGAGTATCCAATTTACATTGATTTTTAGCTAAAATAAAGATTAAAATCAGTAAATTGACAGAGTCAAAAGGCAGGAGTTTTTTGTTGTTGTTGTTTTTGTTTGCTTAAGGCAAAGACTGTAATAAAATAGCTGGCAGAGTTCAGAAAAAAAGAAAGAACGAAGTCAGGAGGAAGTGAGAGAGAGGGAGACAGGAGGAAGGGAGGCAGAGAAGAACAAAAGGGAGGGAAAGAGACAGAAGGGAAGAAGAAGACAAAGAACAAGAATAACAAACATATATATTGCAAACTGCTATGCTAGTTAAAAGTTCCTTCCTACACCTGTCCACAGTCCTTAAGGGTAGTGTGGTAGTATTCATATGGCTTTATATTACAACACTTTGGCTCTTCATAACTCTCTTATAAACTTCAAGGTGCTATATTGATACAAAATTACTAGTAGACATCCAAATCACCAGGATCAGTCCTGTACAGAGCAGGTAAAACTCCCGAGCGTGATAAAAATGCTCTATATTTTAACTGCGTTTCTAGTTGCACGCATTAAACTAGTCTAAATTCACGAATACTTTGGTTTGTGATTTATCAATCAATTTAGTTGATGAAAAATATTAACACCTGGATACCAACCTGAAGTTTCTAATTTAAATTATCCTGGGTGCTAGCTGGGCATCAGCTGTGTTAGGAGTCCCCAGGTGATTACAATTGGGAACCACTCCACTCAGTGATCTCTCCCCCAACAACCTGCCACAGGAATGGAAGTCTCAGGCTGTTTCTACTTGAAAGTACTGATCAAATGTAGCATTACCAGGTATGGACAACTTGATATTATGGGCTATATTACTCATCTAGGACTGCCATAACAAAACACCACAGACTAGGAGCCTTAAACAACAGAAACTTATTTTCTCACGGTTCTGAAGGGGTGGAAGTCCAAGATCGTGGTGTCAACAGGCTTGGTTTCTCCCGAGGCCTCACCCCTTGGCTTGCAGACAACAGCCTTTTTATAGCATCCTCCTACGGCCTTTCCTCTGCGCATGAGCACTCCCAGTGTCTGTCTCTCTCACCTGTTGTAAGAACACCAATCTTATTGGATGCTATAGGCCTCCACCCTTATGACGTCATTAAACTTTAAATGCCGGTTTAAAGGGCTTATATCTAAATACAGTTACATTGAGATGTAATATAAGCTGCTGAAGGCTTTCTCCCTACTTTGAGTTCTTCCATAACCAATTGCAATCTAACTTAGTATGAAAAGAAAAAAAAAGCTAATTTAAAAGTATAGTTTTGTAACAAATAACCAGGGTTTCAGCCAATCACAAACAGTTAAGCTTAACTAATCACAGCTAGCCAAGTGAACACACTATGCCCAAATAAGGCAGATGCCTGGCTGTAGTCAATCAGGCGATTTCTCCATTTTGCATCCCTATTTGACCTCTACAAGCTCACTCTTCACACAGCTGGGTGAACCGCTCCGAACTTCTTCTGGTTCTGAGTTATTCTAAACCAATCTTTGCTCAAATAAACTCTGCTAAATTTGTTTTGTCTGAAAGTTTCTTTTAATAGTGGGTTAGGGCTTTGACATATCTATTTTGGGGACATATAATTTAATCCACGATATGTACCTCCTATATTAATAAGGCAGAATCACCTCTTAAGTATTCTTGCTAATAAATTGAACTTAGAGCTATTCAAAATTTTATGTCTAACTACCAGTTTACAGGAAACACAGAGACTAAACCTCTGTGACAAGGAGCTACAAAGATGACTTTGGAGGAATGGGCAGGCTTCAATATGTTAATAGAAAATTGAACTGGACAAGTTAAACAGGTAAGGAAGACCTTATACAAGACTATTGCAATAGGAAAGGGATGTTGAATTCAACTGTCTTGAAACAAAAGGCTGGAGAGCTTTAAGCACCAGGACATGCTAGTGGAACAGTACTGGAAAACTTTACAGGATAGGTTGATAAATAGGATTAGACCATCTATGTTTCCTAATTGATACCTAATTGGCACCTCTCCTCTCACAGAGACTGAAAGATAGAGGTTCTATCATTCTTGATGATTGCATTTCAATGGGATGACTCCCAGATCCTTGAGAAAGAGATTCCTAAGTTGTAAATTCGGCAAGAGGCTTCATGATTTGCATCTCAAAGAAGCAGATAAATGATTTAAAATTGCATACTTTATAAAGCAAATGCTATAAGAAAAGGTAGCTCAGAAACCTATGGGTAAAATGAAACTTGTCTAATGTTTACTCCAGCTGAAGGGGAAATTAACACCTTTTTGATCAAGGACAACTGATTCTGTTTCTTCAAGAGTTAATGGAATAAAAATGTTAGAGGAAACACCTAATTTAAAAAATACTTAAATACAACACAATGCAAGATATGGGCATTTATTACAGACTGAACTGAACAGACCAACTTTAAGACTTTTTTGGGGGGCATATCATAAATATTTTAAATAATTTTTTTGAATTGACAAGTATCTATGAAGGACAATGTGATGTAAGAGATGTACATATTGTGAAATAATAAAATCAAGATAATTCATATACCCATTACCTCACATATTAATTTTTTGTTGTAAGAACATCTGAAATGTACTCCCTTAGCAATTTTGAAATATGTTATTATTAACTATACTCTGCTGTGCAATAAACCTCAAAAACGTATTCCTCCTAACTGAAACTTGTACCCTTTAATGCACATGTCTACACTTAATGCCCCAGCCCCAAACCAGCCTTCGATAACCACCATTCTCCTCTCAACTTTTATGAGATCGACATTTTTAGATTCCACATACAAGTAAGCTCATGCGGTAACAGTCTTTTTGTGCCTACTTAATGTCACTTGGCATAATGCCCTCCAAGTTTTATCCATGTTGTTGCACAAAACAGAATTCCATTCTATTTTTGTAAGACTGAATGGTATTCCATTGTACATATAATCCCACTTTCTTTATTCATTCATCATTTGATGTACACTTAGGTTGATTCCACATCTTGGCTATTGTGAATAATGCTGCAATGAACATGGGAGTGCAGATATCTCTTCAAACTACTGATTTCAATTTCTTTGGATATATGCCCAGTGGTGGGATTGCTGAATCATATGGTAGTTCCATTTTTAGTTTTTAAAGGAACTTCCAGACTTTTCCATAATGTCTGTACTAAATTGCATCCTTGCCAACAGTGTATAAGGGTTCCTTTTTCTCTACATACTCACCACTTATGATCTTTCACCTTTCTGAATATAGTCATTCTAACATGTATGAGAAGATATTTTATTGTGGTTTTAACGTGCATTTCTCTGATGACTGATGATGTTAAGCATTTTTTTTCATATGCTTGTTGGCTATTTTTATGTATTTTTTTGACAAATATCAATTCATGGCTCACGCCTGTAATCCCAGCACTTTGGGAGGCCGAGGCGGGCGGATAACGAGGTCAGGAGATCAAGACCATCCCGGCTAAAACGGTGAAACCCCGTCTCTACTAAAAATACAAAAAATTAGCCGGGCGTAGTGGCGGGCGCCTGTAGTCCCAGCTACTTGGGAGGCTGAGGCAGGAGAATGGCGTGAACCCGGGAGGCGGAGCTTGCAGTGAGCCGAGATCCCGCCACTGCACTCCAGCCTGGGCGACAGAGCGAGACTCCGTCTCAAAAAAAAAAAAAAAAAAATCAATTCATGTACTTGCCTATTAACTTTTATTTTAGGTTTGGGGTACATTTGCATGTTTGTTATCTAGATAAAATGCATGTCACAGGGATTTGGTATACAGATTATTTTGTTGTCCAGGTAATGAGCATGGTACGCAATAGGTAGTTGTCTAATCTTCTGTCTCCTCCCAACCTCCATCATCAAGTAGGTCCCGATGTCTGTTGTTTCTTCCTATCCATGTGCATAAAATGTTTTCCCATTTGTTGGTGTTATCTCTGATTTCTTTGAGCAGTGTTTTGTAATTATCATTGTAGAGCTCTTTCACCTCCCTGGTTAGCCATATTTCTAGACATTTTATTCTTTTAATGTCTATTGTGAATGAGTTAGTGTTGTTGATTAGGTTCTCAGCCTGGATGTTGTCGGAGTATAAAAATACTATAGGTTTGTGTACATTGATTTTGGATCCTGAAACTTTGCCAAAGTTGTTTATCAGATCTGGGAGTTTTTGGACAAAAACTGTGGGGTTTTCAATGTATAGAATCATAAATCTGCAAACAGATATAGTTTGACTTCCTCTCTTCCTATTTGTTTGCCTTTTATTTCTCTCTCTTGTCTGATTGCTCTGGCTAACACATCTATTACTATGTTGAATAGGAGTGGTGAAAGTGGGCATCCTCGTCTTGTTCCAGGACTCAAGAGGAATGCTTTCAGCTTTTGCCCATTCAGTATAATGTAGGCTATGGGTTTGTCATAGTTGACTCATTATTTTGAGGTATGTTCCTTCAATGTCTAGTTTGTTGAAGGTTTTCTACATGAAGCGATGTTGAATTTTATTGAAAGTTTTTTCAGCATGTATTGAGATGATCATGTGGTTTTTGTTTTTAGTTCTGTTTACGTGGTGAATTACATTTATTGATTTGCATATGTTGAAACAGCTTTGCATCCTAGGGATAAAGCCTACTTGATTATGGTGGATTCGATTTTGGATGTGCTGCTAGATTAGGCTTGCTTGTATTTTGCTGAGGATTTTTGCATCAATTTTCATCAAAAATATTGGCCTGAAGTTTTCTTTTTTTGTTGTGTCTCTACCAGGTTTTAATATCCGGATGATGCTAGCTTCATCCAGTTAGTTAGGGAGGAATCCTTCCATCTCAATTTTTTGAAATAGTTTCAGTAGGCATAATACCAGCTCTTCTTTATACATCTTGTAGAATTCATCTGTGGATCTGTCTGGTCCTGGGCTTTTTTCTAGCTGGTAGGCTTTTTGTGACTGATTCAATTGCAGAACTTGTTATTGATCTGTTCAGGGATTCAGATTCTTTCTAGTTCAATCTTGGGAGGTTGTATGTTTCCAGGAATTCATCTATTTCTTTTCAGTTTTGTAGTTTTTGTGCATAGAGGTGTTCATAGTAGTCTCAGAAGATTTTGTATTCCTGTGGCATCAGTGGTAATGTCCCCTTTGTCATTTTTGATTGTGTTTATTTGGATCTTCATTTTTTCTTTATTATTCTTGCTAGCAGTCTATCAATCTTATTTTTACTTTCATTTTGACCTTGTAGAATCTGACAACTGTGTCTTAGGGATAGTCATCTGGTATAGTATCTCACAGGGGTTCTCTGCATTTCCTAGATTTGAATGTTGGCCTCTCTAGCGAGGTGGGAAAAATTTTTGTGGATGATATCCTCAAATATGTTTTCCAAGTTGCTTGCTTTCTCTCCTCAGGAATCCCAATGAGTCATAGATTTGGTCTCTTTACACAATTCCATATTACGTGAAGGCTTTATTCATTCTTCTTTATTGTTTTTCTTTATTTTGTCTGACTGAGTTATTTTGGAAAACTGGTATTTGAGCTCCGATATTCTTTCCTTAGTTTGGTCAATTTTGCTGTTAATACTTGAGACTGTATTCTGAAATGCTTGAAGTGAGTTTTTCAGCTGTATTAATTCAGTTTGGTCCTTTCTTAATGGCCATTTTGTCTTTAATCTCCTGTATCATTTTATTGCATTCTGTAAATTCCTTGGATTAGGTTTTGACTTTCTCCTGAATGTTGATGATCTTCATTCCTATCCATATTCTGAATTCTATTTCTGACATTTCTCACATTTCAGCCTGGTTGAAAACCAGCGCTTAGGAACTAGTGCAGTTGTTTGGAAGTAAGAAGATATTCTGGGTTTTTTAATTGCCAAAGTTCTTGTGCTGGTTCTTTCTCATCTGTGTGGGCTGATGTTCCTTAAATCTTTGAAGTTGCTGTCCTTTGCATTTTTGTATGCCCTTGGGAGTTTGATTGTGGTAAAAGGTAAGTTCAGTCAACTGGTTTTGATTCTAGTCTGTTCCTTGGTCTTGGAGAAGCCTGCTCTCATTATTGTCTCCGTAAATGTGTTTCTCTTGTTGGGTGTTCTGGTCAAGATCTTGGAAGTCTGGAGTCTTATAAATTAATTAAATTTGTTTCTTCAAAACCTTGGAGTAAAACTGATGCTACAGAAATACATACCACAGATATTCTCCTCTTGTGCATCATCCCTGCAGAGACTTAAGGTTGCGGCTACTCCAGTTACGGAAGCATGTAGTAGTGGAGTAATTAGAGTTAATAGGAAAAACAGGGAGCTTCCTGCCTGGACTCCCAAGAAGCCTGAGAACTGCCAGGACCCAGGGCGGTTAGGACCTAGGCCCGCCCCTACCTACTTTGCCCATATTTATTGTAAATTGAGTTATTTGTTTTCTTGTTATTGAGTCGTTTGATTCGTTATACATTTTGGATATTAATCCCTTATCAGTTTTATGATTTGCAAGTATTTTCTGTTACTCCATAGATTCTCTCTTTACTCTGTTAATTGTTCCCTTTGCTGTGCAGGAACTTTTTAGTATAATGCAATACTATTCATCTATTTTTGCTTTTATTCCCTGTGTTTTGGGGGTCAAATCCAAAAACTCATTGCCCAGTCCAATGTTGTGGAGGTTTCCCCTTATGTTTTTGTTTAGTGGTTTTACAATTTCAGGTCTCATATTTAAGCCTTCAATCCATTTTGAGTTGATTTTTGTAGATGTTGTAAGATGAGGGTCCAATCTCATTCTTCTGCACATGGATGTCCAATGTCATTTATATATATTTTTAAAAACTGTCCTTTTCTCATTTTGTGTTTTTAGAACCTTTGTCAGAAAACAACTGACTGTAAATGCATAGGTTCATTTCTGGGTTCTCTATTCTTTTCTGTTTGTTGGTGTGTCTATTTTTTATGCCACTGCCATGCTCTTTTAAGGACTATAGCTTTGTAGAACATATTTCAAAATCAGATAGTTTGATGCCCCTAGCTTTGTTGAAATATACATTTTTTTAGTCAATCAGTGGTACAGTAGTCACCCCTTATCTGTGTATTCACTTTCCATGGCTTCAGTTACCATCAGTCATCTGCATTTCAAAAATATTAAGTGAAAAATGCCAGAAATGAACAATTTATAAGTTTTAAAGTGCATGCTGTTCTGAATACATAATAAAATTTTGCACTGTCCCAACTCTATCCCACCTAGGGTATGAATCATCTGCTTTATGACAGTTATATTATTATAATTGTTCTAGTTCTTATCAGATATTGTTGCTAATATCTTGCTATCCTAAATTTGTACTTTAAACTTTATAATACAAATGTTTGTATAGGAAAAAACGTAAAATATGTAAATTGGTACTATCCTAGATTTCCTGCGTCCACTGGGGATCTTGGAATGTATCCTCAGAGGATTAGAGGGAACTATTTTATTTTGTTATGAACTGGGTGCTATATAAAATCAATACATTATTTTAAATTTTGGTTAAAAATGCCATTATTTTTATTATGAAATTAGTCATATGTTCTTACCATTTGGAGATATATGCTGAAGTGTATAAAGGGATGAAATCACCTGATATCTTCAATATGCTTTAATATACATCCATAAATCGGAAACCCTCTTTTTCACTCTTGTTTTTCTACCTTCTTCCCTTCCTTCCAGCCTTCTGTCCTCTGAGCATACCTGGGGGCAATAATAAGGACACTTAGAACTCAGACCTTGATTTTTAAATACCTTAGAAAAATGTTCAATTCCAGGACAAAGGAAAAGAAAGAGTAATCTGACCCTGAAATAATTTTTGTGTGTGAGAAAAATAAACAATTTCTTGTAAAATTATAGGGGTATATTAAAATAACACAGAAGCCAGCTTCAAGGAGCTTTTTCAATTAAATCTAAGGCAATTTGAGCATTAAAATCCTACTAATATTAGATTGTTCTAATTAAAACAGAAATGTGTGGATCAACACAGATACTAATACAGAATAAATAGAAGTCAAATACCTTTCTTACCATAGAACACCAACTAGAAATGTAGAATAAAATATTAAATTAGAAAATCACATTTGACAACCATCATATTAATAATTCATTAATTTACCTGAGAAATATCAATGGATGCTAAAACTAATGTGGAAAGAGGGATGAAAATTTGAGATTTACATGGTTTCGAAATATCTTGTCATAAAGGACTCATTAATTGTAGTGGGAATGGGATGGGGAAACATCGCTTTATGATGGCAAAATCTGTCTGATATCATCTTGAGTAGCCCAATTTAACACTGCAAGTAACGAATCCAGTAGACATTGGGTGTCACTTGATAGAATGCCATGAGATAGCAGTATTATTTCTGTGATAATTTAGCTAAACAATGCATCACCTGAATCTACTCACGCAGAAATATCCTATAAACACACATGAAAAAATATTCTACAAAATTATTGGTTTGTAATAAAAATTTCTTAGTCATGTAAGCCAATAAAGGCTGATAAATTATTTCAGATTGAAGGAAACTAGAAAGACATAAGAGAAAGTCTAAATAAGTGAGTGCAATATATGATCCTAGTTTGGATTTTTTTGCTGTTAAAAAAAAGAATACACTATGAAATCAATTAGAGGTTCTCTATATGTTGGATGTATAGCATTCTTTGTATTATTTTTGCAAGTTTTCATTGAGTATGTTGCCTGAGAATATGAATGCATTTAAACAATATAATGGGTATATAAATACAAGGAATTTCAATGATTTTGGAAAATAATTCTGAATTGCTATTTTTCTGTATTCTTCATATGAAATTTTGATCATTTAGGTAATGTAGAAAAAAATTAGAAAACATAAAATATGTTCCTGCATTAAAAATGTATGTAATAAAAATCTCAAACACATAAAAAATTGGGAGAATTTAAATTAACTCACATTTTTCTACTCCTATCTTTTAAAATTACAAAAAAATTAACAAGCAATTTTGTTTAATTCTTTTCAGAACTACTGATTCACTTATTTTAAATTTCAAAGAACGTTGAAACTTAGAGAAAATTACTAGAGTGGGAAAAAGAGGGAGAATACTCGTTTTATGCTGAGTAAAATAAACAACACACTCTCTTTGAGGACTAAGTTCCTCTGTGATAGTGTGCTAGAGATGATGATAACTCCCTTATATTACTAAGTTACTGTGTATGCTATACTGAGCTAAATGAAATTTTACCAACCTGAGATAGTCTGTGTCTCTTTGCATAACTATACTGAGAATAACTTTGCCACATGGCGCCATAACTTACATGAGCTCCTTCAAAAGCAAAATCTGAGACAGCCTTTTACAAGTCACTCCTAGACTTAACCTATTCTAAGTTCATTCCATGTGCCCCTGAAATTGAAATGGTAATTTTGTATTACTTTCTATGATGGTGTTCAATCTGACTATTACCTCAAAAAGTCATACTTAAACTGTTTAGAAAATTAATAGTCAAAAGCACATTCTCTTTTATTATAGCAATAATTATCACATAGTACTTATTAAGGGTCTAGTGTATACTGCATAATGCTGACACTGGTGTTCTTGTTTTTCCCCTATGGTAAAGTATTTGGAGTACAGGGCTGCTTTGTTGTAAATAAACATTATTTTCATATATATGGCTAACCAGGTAATCTTTCAAAACCAAATGTTTTTCCTGAGCAATGACATAAAAGTAGTTAGAACCTGTAACACATTCAGATTATATAGTCCAATAAGTAATACCCTGTTTATTGCAGTTTTTAAAAAAATGCAGACCTATTGTTTGTTTTTACTACACTATTTTTTATGGTTAGCATAACTTAGTACTACTTATTCCAAACCAGAAATCTGCAAGCCTCTGAAAACTGATCTTCCTCCATTGCCCACCTGATTCCATTAATTATTGTTTCTCAATACTGCTGCTTCAATATCTCTGTAATAGGATTACATCATTATGCTTCATGAGACATTCAATGGTTTTCCATAATTCAGCAGATAAACATTAAATGTTTTTAAATGATGATGCAAGGCCTTTTATGATCTGCACTCATGACTTCTCTCCTTTGCACCCCTATCATGAACACTTGCTAATTCTTGTAGTTTTTACAATGGAGTCTTTCCCGTTGCTTCTCTTGGCATAATTTGCTTCATATGCCTGGAACTCAGTACTTTAAATAATTCCTTTCTCTTGGTATCTGCCTTTCATCCACTGAAGTGTCTCCACATCAATCAAAACAGAAGATTCTTAAGCATCTAACCTTACTAATTGCTAGCCTTACCTAATGGACTCTTGACATATGACCTTCTTTCCTTTGTATATGCTTCTATTTAATGATTGTCCACGGTATTGAAATTTTACATGTATTTACATGTTTTTCTCCTCCTACTACATCTCTAAGCTCCTTGAGGACAAAAATTATTTCCAATTTATCTTTTGTCTCTCCAGAAAAAAAAAAGAAATTACTTTACCCAGAACGTATATTCAGAAAATATTTGACTACATTAATTTAGAAAATGTTCATCAGAAAAATGCAGAAGGGAAAGAAAAGGAATATTAGAAGCCCTGTTAAAACAGAATCTAAAAGAAAGGTAAACTCAGTTCATTCTTTAGGTTTCTCTTAGTGTAATTTTAATGCTGATGCCAGGGTTTTTCATTTTATTCTCTTTTAAAGAAATTCAGAAAATTAAATTCACACCAGTGATAATTCGATACTGGAAAAAATTGATCATCAGGATAAGATCCTGCAGCTGACCATCAGTTTTATATGAGTATTATATAATAAAACATTTTTTTCTTGAAGAGCATTGTAATATTGTAATATGATAAAAAAGAAAAATTTTGAGCAATTAAAACTCCACTTAAACTTACTTACTTTTAAAACACTCACTGTAGTTTTTTCTTGTTCAAGAAAATGACAATATGAATAATTAAAATTTATTACACAATTGTAACAGCCCAACAGGTTCATCTTGCCCACTGCCGAGATAGAACGAATATATCAAGATGGGGACTGTGATAGAAAGAGTTTAATAGATGAAGAGGCAGAGACCTAGGAGACCAGAGGGCTATTATTTACTCAAATCAGCCTCCCTGAAAATTCAGAGACTAGAGTTTTTTTTAAGGTGGTTTGGTGGGCAGGGGTCTAGGGAATGGAGAATGCTGATTGCTTAGGTCAGGGATGAAATCAGAGAGTCAAACTTGTTCCCTTATGCTGAGTCAGTTCCTGGGAGGGGGCAACAAGGCCAGATGAGCCACTTTACTGATTTGGGTGGTGCCAGCCGATTTTTCAGGATACGAGGTCTGAAAAATATCTTGAACACCAATGCTAGGTTTTACAATAGTAATGGTATCCATAGGAGCAATTGGGGAGATTAGGAATCTTGTGGCCTCTGGCTGGCTGCATGAATCTCAAACCATAATTTCTAATCTTCTGACTAATTTGTTAGTTTTACAAAGGTAGTCTGGTCCCCAGGAAAGAAAGAAGTTTGTTCCTGGGAGGGGGTGTTACCATCTTTGTTTCAAAATTAAACTGTAAAACATCCCTCCCAAAATTCAGCGTACACCCAGGAATGAACAAAGGCAGCTTGGATGATAAAGGCAAGATGGAGACGGGTACTTCAGATATCTTTCACTGTCATTATTTTGTCACTGTTACGATATTTTGGCAAAAGAAGTTTCACAATTGCTCTGTGCTAGGGTTATACCTTGTCTCAGTTAATTTAATCCTAAAAGTAGCCATATGGAATCAGTACTGTAATTATTCCCATTCAACATACAAGGAAACCAAAGAGTAGGGATGTGAAATATACTTCTCCAGGTCCCACAGCTGACAAGCAGTGCTGTAGCATTTTAACCAGGCTAACTAGCTCCAGAGCACTTTTCTGCAAGCATAAAAACTAGAATGTTGTCTAAGCATGCTTGCAGCTTAAGGGAAATATGTCTAAATCAAATATTAACTTCATTACATATTAGTTATTTAGATCATTTATAGTAATTTCATTTTTTAAATATTGAAACTAAGTGACCTAATAAGTTTGCCACATATTGCTAACTTTCCTTAAAATTTTTGGAATAGATTTACACACATCTTCATTTTAAGTCTGTGTGTGTGTGTGTGTGTGCATATGTGTGTGTAATTTTTACTTGATGGATGAGGTAATATAACTTTGTAAAACTATATTTTTAAATGTTTACTGATCTATATAAAATAAAGGAAATTTCAGTCAACATATAGCATTTTATCTCATTTTTCTCTTCCTTTACTTTCTCAGGTTTTTAGCCTCTTTTACACTTATACCTTTCCCTGTAACAAAACCTCGAGGAATTTGAGTGTATGAAAAATGAATAACTACAGTTTCTGATTTTACCTTGTTGATGAAAAGGCTTCCCAAATATTTGACTCAATCTAAGACTTGTGCACTGTAAACAAGATTTATGATTCACCTTGCTAGTTAATAGAGGGTGTCTAAAATGTGTCATTCTATTTTATGATTTTCCACATTTTAATAAGTTTCTCTCATGCAATAAATGGGTAAGCAAATGAAAGTGAAATGGTGATATTTGATGTCAGTTATAAAGTGCTTTGGTCAACTCTGGCTTCTTTGTGGAAATGATTGAGATTGTTTATTACATATAGCTTTTACATCAGATTATCACTTCAAAAATAAGAGACTCTGTAGAAGTTCTGTACAATTTCCTCTCTCTCAAGTTTATTATTTGATTGATTTAATGTCATCGCCTTTATATTTTATACATCGATACTAGGTTCAAAAAATAGGTAAAGCAGTAAACAATGTATATTCTTCCCTTACCAATGTGCTGAAAAGTAGACTTCAGGGTACTATATCAGATTGCAATAACTCCAAAACATCAATATTGTCAAAACATTATGTTCTACTATTTTCTCACTCTATGCACATGTCTATCATTGGAATCATTGGAACTGCTTCTTAAATGCATCTACCTGAAAGTGCTATATATCACTGCTACTCAGATTTCATTGGGCAGAGCACATCACTTGGCCATACGTTATCAAGGTACCTGTTATGTTCCAATATGCCAGGAAATAGAGGAGAACAAGACATTGGCAAACAGTGGTAATATCTACCACAGGTACCAAGATGATGAGGAAAGACATCTGTCCTATGCTCAGGTGGTTGTTCTTATCAGGTTTTTTCTGCTATTTTTGGTATTTTCATGTTTTGTTCTAACATATTTTTGTTTTTTTTCTTTCTGAAACAGGTATTATTGTTAATAACACGTTATTGCAATGTACTATTGCAGATCCCTTTCTTCTCTTTAATTTTTGAGCTGCTTAGTACTTATTGAAGACCTAGGAGAAACACAGAAGTGTTTTAGATAGATAGATAGATAGATAGATAGATAGATAGATAGATAGTTTGTAAAAGATAGATAATTTTATTTAATAATATTTTTAAAGGTTCACTTGCTGTTCAATATGGATTAAAATGCATTTAATTAAAACAGTATTTTAATAAAAATTACTTGCTGGTAATGAGTCTTTGGAAGGAAGAGATATTAAAGACCAGAAAATCAGCTTAAGATTTCTAGCAATACAAAAATACTCATATTATAATAACAATATAAGGGTTTTGACCATGGGAAGAAGAAAATATGAGATTAAAGGATGATCAGAACAAGAGAATAAATTTCCTGCTATAGTCAAATTTTGAGATTAAAAAAGAAGAAAGAAAAATCCAAGAAGCACCAAACAGTATCCAAAACATCTGAGTAAATGTGAGGAGGTACGTTTGAGCATCATCTGCCTCTTACTCTATTCTCTCTGGAACTTGAGGCCCTGAGGCTTTTTTGCTTAGTACTACTCTCACATAAGCAAACATATGTAGAAATTATTAAATAATAAATTTTTATGTTAATATGCTTTACTGTTAGTCAGATACAAGGACTAGAAACTAAATCCAATTATATAAAAGAAGTTACACATTATTTCAATTAAATCAAGCTACTTCATTGCTATTTATAGTGAGGCCTGTGACAAAGTACTCTTTGCAAAATGTATAATTGACTTACCTGTGTATGCAATAACAAGGTTACTTGCCCAGCTGGAGCAGAGTCTTTGCAGAATGCTGAGTTGCTACAAACTAGAGGCTGAAACAGAAATAAAATAAAATAAACTTTCATTTCTGAGAAGATAGATATCAATGTCCCTATGAGGCTCTTAAACACACTTGCCATTTCAAATGTGTTTTGCCTTATTCCCCATATAACATGAATATTATATTAATAGCTACAGGGTTGTAAATGTATCATGCAGGGCCAAGAATACAAATTTAAAAGAATAAAAATGCAGACATTAAAGAAAACAATACATTTAAATCCTTTTTAGTGAAATATTGCTTTGCTTAATTTTATTAAGACTCAAGCCATGCTCCTTGAAGGCCAAATACAATATTATTTATTTAAATAAGACAGTGTGTCATTTAAATAAAATTGATATTGAAAAACAGTATAATTGTTTTACAAAAGTAAAGCATACATTTACCTGTTTACAAGAATGAAATTGCTTTTGAGCTATAGTGGTAGCACTATTAGATACAAAAGAAAGCGCTTTGCAAATTAAAATGCATTATAAAGTTGAAGCATATTATTACTCAGGAGGTTGATTGTACATGTACCCAGAATTAAGCCCATCAAATTTTGCTTTAGAGTCCATGCTATAGATCCCAAATATTAATGATAATTAGCAATATCGTCTATAACAAAAACATTGGATATTTCAGGAGTTTATCCCCCATGAAGATCCAAACATATCTTTTTTATTGAAATGTCTTGAGTGTCAAAGTAAGAATTTAATGTATTTAGGTAATAGGTTATTACTATTTATAAACAGTCACCAAATATTAAATACATGGAACAACTTAAATAAATATATTAGTTTTACAATATTTGTATTTCCTTTGTAACTCTCTTCCCATTTCTGCTTCTTTCAAAGTGTATGAATACATATACTGACAGTTTATTTCAGAAAACATTCTTGAAGGTTTTAAATAACCAACTTAAAGTTTAGGAGTTCTTATAAATTGTCAAAAGTCATAATAACACATGGACAGCCTAAGTAAATTATATTTACATATATGTAGGTTTTATTAATAAAGAAAGGCATGAGTTTTAAAAACATAATAACTATGATATTAATTTTGGGTTAAAATAAAACAAAGCAAAACCAAATCAATTCCCAAAATAGCCCTTCTACCAAAATCTGCTTAATTTTGTATGTTGAAAAAATAAAATATCTTTTTTTGTAGTCTTTTTACCTGGATCTTGAGATGTTATTCAGTAAGAAATGGAATAGTCATCAAAATCTATCGGGGGAACCCACCCCCAATATTTCAACGTAGGTTCTTTCTATTTTCCCTGAGTGTCGGCCAGTCTGACAAATAATGAGAAAGAGTACAAAGACAGGAATTTTACAACTGGACCGCTGGGGGTGACATCACATATCTGTAGGTCCGTGATGCCCACCTGTGCCACAAAACCAGCAGGTTTTTATTAAGAACTTCAAAAGGGAAGGGGGTGTAAGAACAAGGAGTAGGTCACAAAGATCACATGCTTCAACGGGCAAAAAGGAGAACAAAGATCATATGCTTCTGAGGCCAATAAAGATCACAAGGCAAAGGGCAAAGCAAGATCACAAGGCAAAGGGCAAAATCAAAAACTCCTGGTAAGGGTCTATGTTCAGCTGTGCACGTATTGCCTTGATAAACATCTTAATCAACAGAAAACAGGGTTCAAGAGCAGAGAACTGGTGTGACCTCAAATTTACCAGGGTGGAATTCCCAATCCTAGTAAGCCTGAGGGTACTGCAAGAGACCAGGGCATATTTCAGTCCCTATCTCAACCACATAAGACAGATATTCCCAGAGCGGCTGTTTATTGACCTCCCTCTAGGAATGCAATTCTTTTCCTAGGGTCTTAATATTCCTTGCTAGGAAAAGAATTTAGCCATATCTCTCCTACTTGCATGTCCGTCTATAGGCTCTCTGCAAGAAGAAAAATATGGCCCTTTTTGCCCGACCCTGCAGGCAGTCAGACCTTATGGTTGTCTTCCCTTCTTCCCTAAAATCACTGTTATTCTGTTCATTTTCAAGGTGCACTTATTTCATATTGTTCGAACACACATGTTTTACAATCAATTTGTACAGTTAACACAATCATCACAAGGTCCTGAAGTGATGTAGTACATCCTCAGCTTACGAAGATAAAAGGATTAAGAAATGAAAGTAAGACAGGTGTAAGAAATTATAAGAGTATTATTAGGGAAGTGATAAATGTCCATGAAATCTTCATGATTTATGTTTCCTCTGCTGTGGCTCCAGCTGGTCCCTCCGTTCAGGGTCCCTGACTTCCCACAACAAAAATCTGAGATTAAAAAAAAAAATCTAAAGTATTAGTATGAAAGAAAATTGTGTTATGAGAGAAATACCACATTTGTGGAAACTGGAATAGAAATTAGACAATTTTATTCAAAGGAGAGACATGATCTGGAAATTAACTTTAAAACATACACATTATTTTTTTCATTGCAATATTAAGACCATTTATTTACAATTCATTATAACTATGAATTGTAACTATTTCCATATGACTATTTCCTTTTGTGCTCTCCAATTTGTTGCTACAAATTAGGCTCCAAACTCAGGGCTACTAAGGCCCGGGGTCATATCTTAAACACTACTGTATTGCTACTGCCTAGAACAATGGATGGCACAGTCAGGGCCTCCAATAGCATATATTGAATGGAGTAACCCCAAGTCCATTCACTTTTGTTCCTATCTATTCAATTTAGGACTTTTCCATTCTCTTATATTCTAGGTTATTTTTAGAGTCCTCAGAATATCACAGATCATGAAGATATCCTCCAGGATCAAACGGAGCAACCCATTTGTACTTTGCTGGATGTTGTCTCTTCAATTCTAAACCACCATTTCATCACCCACTCTGAAAGACATCACTTCCACCACCTTCCAAAGACCAGAATCTTCCATTAGTTACCTGATCACCAATAGATATTGCCACCACTGATAGAACACTCTTACCTAGGAATACCAAAGCATGCAGAGGCTTAGATAAATTACAGCTTTCATTTCATTAACCAGATGTCCTTATTCTTCAGCTCTTTTCCTCCTCATAAAACCCATAACCCTTAATAAATACAGTCGACCCTTGAACAATGCAGGCATTGGAGTGCTGACCATCTGCACAGTTGAAAATCCATGTACAATTTTTGACTCCCTGAATACTTAACAACTGATAGCCTACTGTTGACAAGAAGCCTTACTGACAGTGTGGACCATCAATTAACACATATTTTGTATATGTAGTACATACTGTATTCTTACAATAAAGTAAGCTAGAGAAAAACAAAATGCTATAAAGAAAATCATGAGGAAGAGAAACTATATTGACTATTCATTAAATAGAAGCGGATCCTCATAACAGTCTGCATCCTCATCATCTTCACGTTGAGTAGGCACAGAAAGAGGAGGAATAGGAGGGGTTGATCTTTCTACCTCGGGTGGCAGCAGAGGTGGAAGAAAATCCACATATAAGTGGGAGAGCATAGTTCAAATTTATGTTGTTCAAGGGTCAGTCATAAGATCATCAAGAATGGCAAGAGGAATAATCTTCTAATCACTTCCAAAACATGAAGGTGATTGATATTTGGCATTATTTTCTATTAATTTTATCTTTTTGTGGAAGCATAGCTTTATATGACATATAGTATTCATTAACTGAATTAGCCTAGAAAATATCTTCTGACAGTTTAGAAACAAGGTTGAAAATTAGATCAACATTTTCAAAACTGGTATTGATTTGATACATGACAATAGTAGCCAGGCTGAGGAGGACAGATCACCTGAGGTCAGGAGTCCAAGACCAGCCTGGCCAACATGGTGAAACCCTGTCTCTACTAAAAATATAAAACATAGCTGTGCATGGTGGTGAGTGCCTGTAATCCCAGCTACTCTGGAGGCTGAGGCACGAGAATTGCTTTGAACCCAGAGGTGGAGATTGCAGTGAGTCGAGATCATGCCACTGCACTCCAGGCTGTGCAACAGAGCAAGACTCTGTCAAAAAAAAAAAAAATAGTTTTCAGGCATTCATTTCATATAAGGTAATATTTGCCATTAAAAAATACCTTGGTCGGGGACCTCCTCTTTCAGTTTTGGAGCCCCCCTCCCTCTGTCTCTTTACGGGGGATCTTCTACCTTCTGTCTTCTCCCTTCTTTCTTGCCTGTTAAACTCTCTGCTCCTTAAAACCACTCCATGTGTGTCCATGTCGTTTTATCTAAACCAGCATGAGGACCAAGAACCCTGGTGTTCCTCCACTCATCAGAACCGTATCATTCTGGTGCATTGGACGGGAAAGGAAATTGAATCATCCTCTAGTGAGTATGGAGTGGATTTCAACTTTAAATCTGTCCTTTAATCTCAAGGCTCTCTTCCAGCTACCCTGTTGCCAAACTTTCTCTCCCTTTTTATCCGCGGTCTCTTACCCTCTCTGTGTGTATCTAATGTAGAGGGATCTTTACAGTTCAGGGAAACAGGTCTGTTAGAAAAGATCATGAATCACGGCAGACAGTAACTCAATAAATCTCTCTCTCTGTCTGTTTTCTCTGCCAAGCACATTGTATTTCTAAGCCACCTAGTAGAAATTGGGCTCTAGGCCTCTTCTGGGAAGTATCTGCCTTTAGCAGTTAGGAGTAAGAGGTCTTCCATAGCTCAATTTTAGTCTCAATATTGTCTCACCAGCAGGAAAATGGTCATTCGATTCCTATGTTCTTTTAAGGCATCTATTCTGTCTCCTATTAAGACAGTACTTAATTCGTAAGGGGATTTTAAGTCCGGAAATTAACTGGAACCATTCTTCTATGGGTAAATGCTTTAGCATGGGCTATAATAGCAGGATATAGAGTTCAATCTAGCACACCCCCTCCCTTAAAGAGGCCTTGCCCAATTACGTAGTGTTTTTTTGAAATCCATTTTTTGGAAGGCACACGGGCCACACAAATCTAGGAGGTCAAAGGGAAAGAAAAGGCAGAGGACTGATTGCTTGGGGACAGTGCGACAAAGGCCTAAAAGTCAGTTCCTCTGGTGCAATGGCTTGGAGGGTCACACCTGCAGTCATGGGTGGCACATTTAAGCAGGTGCTGGGACTACAGGAGCGATGGAGAGGAAATAGTTGGGGGGACGCCCTCTATGTTTTCATCTCCATCCTGGATCACATACCAAAAGGAAGGAGACCAAAAGGATGCTTTCATTCTCACTTCTCTTTCTATATGGGTAACATAATCTTCAACATGCACTCCCGTGGAGTGTATTTTGAAGCACTGGGACTCCTTCAACCTTGAAACTTTGAAGAAAAAGTGGCTTATTTTCTTTTGCAGCCATATCAGGCAGGCCCAGGGAAAACAGTTCCCCAAAATTAAAAAAGTGACTTTCAAGGAAGTCATCTCAAGGTGCCCCTTATTTGGGGCCCCTTCAAGTTCCCTTCTCATTCCAGGACCTTAGGCAAGTGAAAGGAAACTGAGGCTGATTTTCTGACAAGCCTGATAGGTATATAGAAGCTTTCCAAAATTTAATTCAGGTATTTGACCTCACATGGAGAGATGTTATGTTGCTGCTAAGTCCAACCCTCACTGCAGCTAAAACACGCAGCTCTGCAAGCAGAAGAAAATTTTGGAGATGAGCAGTATGTCTCCTGTAGTAGGCCAGAAGGGAAAAGAGAAAATAGGAAGGCAAAGAAATAGAGGAAACACCATTCCCAATAGGAAGAGAGGTATTACCTCTTAACAACCCTAATTGGAACTTCTTTCTATGGTGTTTTTTCTTCTTTTGTGGTTTAAAATGGCTTCTATCTCTTTTATAATGTTCTTCTAACCTGGGAAAAGTTAATTTTCCAAACCTTAAAATGCTTGGCATAGAGTTGAGCTAGGAGAAAGGGAACCCAGAAGCCTGATATGCTGGCAAAAGGGCAAAAATTTCTTACCAGTTGTTTCATGTCCTTGGGAATATAATCTGTAACCATGTGGCAATACTTTGTTTTAGTCTCTGCGATTTTACAATGGTGGCTATCTTCTTGTACTAAATCAGATAAGCCAGTCTGTCAATCTAGGTGGTGCCAGCTGATCCATCAAGGGCAGGGTTTACAAAATATCTTAAGCACTGATCATGAGAGCAGTTTAGGGAGGGTCAAAATCTTGTAGCCTCCAGCTGCATGGCTCCTGGGCCATGGTTTGTAATCCTGCGGCTAGTCTCTTGGTCTGGTCCCCAGGCAAAAGGGAAGTATGTCTTGGGAAGCAGCTGACATCATCTTTGTTTTAAACTATAAACTATAAACCAGGCTCCTCCCGAAGTTGGTTCAGCCTATGCCCAGGGATGGGCAAGGACAGCTTGGGGGCTGGAAACAAAATGACATTGTTTGGGTCCGGTCTCTTTCACTGTCTCAGTCACAATTTTGCAATGACAGTTTCAAAAGCTGCCTATCACTCCATTGAAAATTCCTTGTACACTCACCATTAAGTCATACCCTAATTAAGGCTTGTTGGTTTCACCTGTGAGGCTACTTTTCGTAAAGTTTAAAAGCTGAAAATCTTAAGTGTTTGGCACGGCTAAAGTCAAATAGTAAGGAATTTAAAAAGATTTTTTTAAAGAGTGCTCAGCTTAATTAAGAGTGAATATTCAAGTTATAGGTATATTTAAAAAGTCTTTATGTTTTTCTCTTCTTGGATCTTGTTTTCTGGAAAAAGGTTCTTTTCTTCTCAGTTGACTTAATTATTTTTCTCCATTTTTTTTTTTTGTCCTATCACTCTTAATGCATGCATAAGAGGCCCTAAGATAACTTCTGGTAGCATGGGACTCCTTGGGAAAAACAGAGGGGGCGCCACAAACCCCGTTTTGGGGAAAAAATACCCTCTGTTTTCCTCAAGAAACCCCAGGGATTAAGTCTATAGTTCCCTCCCAAAATCAAAGGCTCTGTTCTGTTTTGCATTGTGTTATCTAATTTCCATCTGGAAAATAAGAAAACATCCACATCCCCCACTGGGAGATGAGACTCCCATCAAGGATGGGCTTATTTTATTTTATTTTATTTTATTTTTTGAGATGGAGTTTTGCTCTTGTTGCCCAGGCTGGAGTGCAATGGCACGATCTCAGCTCACTGCAACCTCCGGCTCCTGGGTTCAAGCGATTCTCATGCCTCAGCCTCCCAAGTAGCGGGATTACAGGCATGTGCCACGACACCTGGCTAATTCTGTATTTTTAGTAGAGATGAGGTTTCTCCATGTTGGTCAGGCTGGTCTCAAACTCCAGACTTCACGTGATCCACCTGCCTTGGCCTCTCAAAGTGTTGGGATTACAGGCATGAGCCACCATGCCTGGCCAAGGGATGGGCTTATTCCAAAATAAGCCAACTGGCTTTGGGTTGCCTTGCAATGAAATGCATGGTAGAAGCACTACACCATCTTCTCCCATAATATCTATATGGTCTTTTCATAAATTAAGCATTGAAATAAAATGAGGTCTTAAGACACTAATCTGCCCTTTAGTAAAAAGGTTTGTAGAAATTTCACCTCATGATCAAGTTGGTTAGGATTAGATGGAATGATCTATAAGGTTTCATTTAAACAAATTCGTGTTAACATTAACAAACTAATACAAGAGTAAAATTTGGCTATAAACAGGATTTTCATGTCATAATAAAGGCTAACAAATGGTTTTTGCCCTTTGAGTCATCATTTTGGCAAAATAATTTATGGCAATCTGGGAGTTGTTCTTCCTAATGCCTGGTTTTATGGATGGTTCAGAGGGCCCCTGAAACATTCAGAGAAGAGGTAAATAGGATCATCTGACATGTTTAGTCACATGAGATTGCCAAAATGATGTCCAATCTTCTTTAGGTTATATTTTGGTGAATGATACTAATATATGTTCCAAAATTGTATGGGATTTCTAAAATTCTAATGTCTAAGTATATGCTATCAATCATAATTAAGGGTAAAGTTATTGTAAACCATGGAGATAAACAAACTTCTTTGTCAGTCATATTTTTAACTGTAACTATCCTGGAAATGTCATTCACAGACAATTGTTGTCTTGCTTCGTTCCTTCTCAAAAGATGGTTTATAATCAACCTATACTAAGGACTCTAACAGGTGTTCTCAAATTCAGGTTTTCAATAGCTTTGAAGATTATAACATTGGAATAGAGAAAGAATGTACAGGACTCCTAAAGAACTGACATGTTCATAAATATCAAACAAAACAAAAGTTAACTAAGTGAACTGCACTCAGAAAGTTTAAGCAATCTTTTTTTTTTTTTTTTTTTTTAAGACAGATTCTCACTCTGTCTCCCAGGCTGGAGTGCAGTGGCGCCATCTCGGCTCACTGCAAACTCCGCCTCCTGGGTTCACGCTATTCTCCTGCCTCAGCCTCCGGAGTAGTCAGGACTACAGGCGCCTGCCACCACGCCCAGCTAATTTTTTGTGTATTTTTAGTAGAGACGGGGTTTCACCGTGTTAGCCAGGATGGTCTCGATCTCCTGACCTTGCGATCTGCCCACCTCGGCCTCCCAAAGTGCTGGGATTACAGGCGTGAGCCACCGTGCCTGGCCAGTTTAAGCAACCTTTTTAAGTTGTGCTTGGAATATTGCTGATTCTTGTTTTGTTTTTCAGAGTCAGGGAAACTTATTTTAAATGATTTATGGTCTTTAATAATTAAGTAAGGTATACTACCGTGAACAAAATTTGGAGCATATTCATTTTTCTCTGCCTGGTTCCTCTAAAATTTGGAGACTATCTGTGAGTACTCTTAACTTATGGCAATATAGTTGTTAGCATCAGTGCAATAAGAATCCATTTTTCTTTGTCAACAGAACACAATTGGAAAAACTGGTTATTTTACCAAGGCTTTGACCGAAAGGGTGTGTTTTCCTTTAAGGAATCAAGCTTCACCTGCGGAGCCAATATAAGCCCCTTGGGGAGAACTGGCTTCATACCTTGTCTACATTGTCCCCCCACAGGGTTCCTAACCTGTGGTCAGTAAAGAATGTCACTTTCTAACAGGTCTGGAAGCTCTGAGTTTATCTTGGGACCTCAAGAGGAGAGGATTACCCAACTCACAGGTATTGGAGGATACAAACCCATGGCTGGGCTCAGCTTTAAAAGTCTTATCTGAAATTCCTTATGGAACAGAGTTTTATCAAAGCCAATCCAAAAGGCCTATGTAAAAATAAACATTCTTGCTGCACTTTATGCAAATAATCAGCCCAAGTATAAGACTAACATTTATTCATAATTAGTTTTTGCCAAAAATGAGGACTGGAGAGAAAAATTTTGCTCCAAAGCTTATCATACATTTGTCATTAAATCCTTGTCTTGTTAACTGTTTTTAAGCTTTTTGACTACATTTTAGATTAACCCTGCTATTTCCTGTGAGTCGAGTGGTGATCTTCTGCAGCTCGGAGAAAAAAAAAAAAAGGATGGGTAACGTACAAATGTGAATCAGTATGCTAGTTCTGGGCAATTATCTTGCAAATTCTGCCAGGTAATGAAAGTGAATAAGGTGCCCATAACCCAGAGGTTTCTTTGTTTGGGAAAATAAAACCAAGGAACTTTATAGACCTTCAAAGGAGACTTCTATATCTTGCCAAGTAAAATGTTAGATGGAAATTACCTATGACACCACATATGTGGAAATTACCTGTCACAACGTATATGTGGGAACTGCTGTCCTCACTCTACTATTTGCAATAGGATTATACACAGTAGCACCTTCTAACTGAAATATTGAACAGAAAGTTTCTATCACTGTCATATTTTGTTTAATTATTATCCTTATAGCAGGGATAATAGTTACTAACAAAAAGGAAGCTTGAAAGTTTTACTATCACTGAGTCTGCTAAGACTTTTTATTGGGTCTAGTGATGCACTTTTAAATGAAACATGCTGCTTTTGGATTAACACCTCTGGTATAGTAAAGGAAAATCTACAGGTACTTAAAGATCAAATCAAAATTATTGGCAGGCTCAGGGAAAATGCCAGCTTCAGCCCCAGGTGGCTACAATCCCTCTTTAATGAATTCCAGTTTTCTTTATAAAACTGGTTAGCCCCTTTATTAGCCTCTTTCTTGCTTATATGTCTTGTATTAACATTTGGAATCTGTACACTCAATACTATAACTCAAACTGTCTCTTCTCACCTAGAAGCAATCAAACTCCAAACGGTGCTGTAAATTGAACCACACATGGACGTGCCATTCTTCCAAGACCCTTAGATCATCCCCAGGAGGAACCCTAGGTGCTGTTCCCCATTCCACACCCCTTTTCAGCAGAAAGTAGCCAGAAAGAGTCATCACCCAAAATCCCCTAACAGCAGTTAGTGTGGCATCTCCACAGGGGGGAATGTTATAGGAGTTACTAAGAAATTATTTTAGGCAGATGGAGAGGAAAAGGGGTATTGGGAAGTTTTCATTTTTTAAAGCATCTCCAGAAAAGTTTCTTCTAAAGCCCCGGCTCTTAGACCCAGGCTGGCAACCTTTGATTTGCAAATGCTAGCCATTAGAACCTGGATCCACCCAACATGGTGATTCCTACAGCCTTCTTGGCGTTTCCCCACATGTTCCTGGCAACATGGCCACCCCCACATATCCCCATGTGTGTAGAACACCCATGGGCCCTGCATTTGCATATTAAAAGGCTAGGGTGGGCCGGGTGCAGTGCCTCATGCCTGTAATCCCAGCACTTTGGGAGGCCTAGGTGGGTGGATCACCTGAGGTCAGGAGTTCAAGACCAGGCTGGCCAACATGGCAAAACCCTGCCTCTACTAAAAAATACAAAAATTAGCCGGGCGTGGTGGTGGGCACCTGTAATCCCAGCTACTCTGGAGGCTGAGGCTGGAGAATCACTTAAACCTGGGAGGTGGATGTTGCAGTGAGCTGAGATGGCATCACTGCACTCCAGCCTGGGCAAACAGAGAGAAACTCCATCTCAAAAAAAAAAAAGGCTAGGGTGGGAGGGCCAGCTTTTTCTCAGGCTACATGAATGACATGGCTAGTCAAACCAATCCCCTGAGCCCTATGCAAATCAAACACTGCCTCCTCCAGCCTCGGCATATATACCTGGCTGGTATCCTTGGCAGGCGGGTACCTCCTCTCTCAGCTTTGGAGCCCTCCTCCCTCTTTCTCTGTATGGGGAAGCTTCTTCCTTCTGTCTTCTCCCTTGCTTCTTGCCTATTAAACTCTCCGCTCCTTAAAACAACAACAACAAAAAAATACTTTGGTCAAATAAGTTTGTGAAACATTGTATTATTGTATATCTTGCTCTGGAAAATTTACAATGCATGGCAGCATATAATGGCTCAAAGATTCCCTACAGTAAAAACATCTATCAACTTTTACCTCAGCATTTCCCAAGCATATTTGAATATGGAAAATGCTTGTAAGTTGTTGCATGAAACAGGTATTTGGAAATTTTTAACTTAGAATGATATAGGTACTCACCAACGGATAATGGCAATACATGATATAAAATGCTAATTACACAATTTTGACACATAACACAGGGAAAGATGAATATCCTCATGACAATATTTTTCAGCATTTACAAATATAACATGAAGACTCTTCACAAAATAGATAATTATAAAAGTCTAAGTATATATTGTAGAAGAAAATAATATAAATAGAAATCAAACTCAAAGCAACTTTAATACAGATCTTTGCCCTTTAATTTGGGTTATTAAAACACACATATTTCATCTGAACAATCTTTCCTAGAGATGAATACAAGACACAGAAAAAAAGGAGGTAATTAACAGCCTTAGCATTTATGGGAGGATAAGAAAAATAAATATATATACTTTTATTAGCTTTTTATAAGAATTTTTGGTTTTTTGGAGCAACACTGAAGATGAATTGAAAACTATGAACAAAAACGAAAGGCCAGGATTACATAAATTATATGGCCTTTGTCAAAAGGATACAACAAAAAATGGAATTAGCAGTAGATAACTGGAGAGTTAGTGAAGCTTAGATCATCTAAGGTCTTATCTACCTTCCAAGGGTATCTGTTCTTCATCCACAAGGCCACAGGGAAAAACTCAGAGGATTAGTAGAAGGCCATGAATGGATTGTCTTGTAAAAGGAGCACACTAAAAGCATCAGGTACTGTAGAGCAACAAGGTAACTGTTGAGGCAGGAATTGGAGTTTGTGTATCTATTGAAATAGTGAACCCAAGTTTGGGGGCCTGAGGGAAAGGGAAAAGTTCTAGATCTCTGAGTTAGGTGACTGGATGGAACTCAGTGCAATTGTTAAAGTTAGGATGTGGAACAGATTTAAAGTGAGGGGAATTAAGTGAGGGGATGTCTAGTAAGATTAATTTCAACCTTTAGTATGTTATGAGAAATGCAGATTTACTTACCATCAGAGAGAAGTATCTTGAGAGCAAGATGAGAAACTGGGATGAATAGGTTAACGGTGGAGGAGATCAGAGTTATTCTGTGTTACTGGTGGCCTATCCTTACGGGTTCGTAGCAACTTCTGTCCATGCCTCCTCAGAAGAAAGAATTTGACTGAGGGTCCTAAGGGAGAAAAAGCGACCCATAGGTTGCATACAAATTTCAGAGCAGGAGTGGAAGTTTATTTTAAAAGACCTTGGAACAGGAAAGAAAGGAAGGTGCACTTGGAAAAGACCCAATCAGGTACATGAGAGTTAAAGAGAGAAGGTCAAATGCCTGGTTTAACCCTAATTCTAGGATTTGTATAAGCTTGCCTCTTTCCAGTGATTCATCCCTTAGGGTGGTCTGCCCGCATGCGCCGAGCCCTCCTGACCCTTTGAAAGTAAGTACGCCGGTGTGTTTAGGGAGCTATAGGCATGCCCACCTGAGGCTTTCTTCCTTTTTCCGGTGGAGTGTACCCTGAAGATTATACTTCGCCATTTTTGTATTTTAATAAGCATTCCCAGAAAGTTGCTTTTCCCTGGGGCCTGCATTCAATTAACATTTTGATGGTAACAGATGTGGACCATCGGGAAATGCTTCTCCCTGGCACTGCCTAATTATCACTTTTAGAGAGGCAATGCGATAATTGCCGAACCATCACCAGATATTTCTAGTGGGTTGAGGGAGAGCCCTCTTCTGCCCCCACTCATGCCTAACTGCCTGTAATAGAGAGATAACATAAGAATTACCAATACGTAAATTATAACTGCATAGATAAAATGTTAGTAGAACTGGATGGTGACATTGAAAATGGCCCGTCACAAAGAAAGGAGGATGAGAGTGGAAAAATATCAACAATGGAGAAGTGTTATGTGTTGTGAAGCCATCGCAAAAAAGGGGGTCAAGTATAATAGGTTTCAGAAAGGGTTAGCTGAATTTGGCGATTAGATACATTGCTATATTCCATAAAGAGCTTTGATTTTAAAGTAAAGATGTGTCTAAATAAATTTAAATGTTAACCTTTCAGATTAATGTACTTTTCACAGAAAATTTTCTTTGATAAACTTTCTATAGCATTAAATATTTATTTATAGGATTGCAAAATCTTCTGACAAGAGAAAAGATCAGAAGATAATTTTTTTTATCCCCTGGCTGTTATTTTCACGAACAAAACTGAAAGCTATTTTGAAAATTAGTAAAAGAAATATGGATTTAGAAGAAAATTACCATAGAAAACTCCATTTTCAAGCTTTTATAGATGAGAAAACCAATGGTTGGTAATATGGAGAAAATGGAAAAAACAAACAACTGTTCTTAAGTTGCCTTATTAGCTCTTATTAACTAATACATTTAACATATTGTGAAACAGACTAAAATTTAATATCAAAACATAAGAAATCTATGTTTTAATTATACTCACTGACACATATAGATTTGCCTCAATTCTGTAACAAAAATTGAGCTTAATCATGACAATTTGTTTATATTTACTAAGATTCCTGCCTTCAAATAGTAACTGAAATTACTATTTTTATGCTTTAAAGTTATGATGACATAGCCTCAGTTGCACAATAAGTAATACAAATTAGAGGTTGCAGCTAATTTTCTGAATCTTTGTTTTTCCCAACTAAATTATATCAAAAGCTAAAATAAAAAAGGAAAAAAAATCACTATTCCTGACTTGTAATAAATCTGGGTTCTACTTTTTTATCACTTTCTACATGGAGTGATTTTTCCTTAGTGGAAACAAGAAGTAATAATAATAAAAAAAAAGAATAGATAGTCTTTCCCTGGAGTAGCCAAAAAGTGCAATTCACTAGTGGCCATTGTAAATTGCTTTAGTACAATAAAGGATGTTGATTCATTGGCACTGCACAAAGACCGAGGACTCACAGCAGTAAAATGCCAGGAAATGTAGGGTGATATGATGTAAAGGGAATAAGTTCAGTAGTAAAATGGAATGAGAAAAAGTACTAATATAATATTCTGTGGTGTAAAACTTCAGACCTGATGCAATATTTAAAAAGTAGCATGATACAAAAACATGCACTGTAGATGCATAGGGCAGAATAGTAAGCCACATACAAAGAGATACAAAGCATCCAAAATCAGCAGACCAAAACTACAAGAGGATTACAGTTATGGAAATTAAGAATGGAGAAAGAAGCTGAACAAAACTGACAGGCAAAGGATGAGAGGTGAAAAAGTCGAGGTGCAATGAAGAGGGAAAGCAACAGCTAACAGGACAGAAGGGAGAAAACTCACTGTAGATTAATCAAAGAGTAGCAGCTGTATGATGACAGGGAAAACTGATGTAACTCATATAAAAGACAAGGAGGGAGGAACCATCAGTAGAAGACCCTGGTTGGTCTAGGAGGAGAGGAAATGTTGTACTTATTTAGAACAGACTTACTTTTCCTCTAGCAATAGAGCAGAAAACATTACCACATATTCCTTAAGGGTTTGTTGCATTTATACAATAAACTTGATATCAACTAAAATGCACACGTACGAAATCTACTTATGAGCATATTTTGCTTTTTGGTGCATGTGCAAGATTTTAATGTGGGTATTACTAACCTCTACTTAGGAAGTTGTGAGTTTCAAAGTGGTGTAATAGGGGATTTGAAATTTGTAAGCATGTAAAAATGATTAAGTTCAGTAAAGACGGCACACTTAATTAGGTATATTTTCCTCAAATAAAATAGTTTCTACAGAGGTACCAAATTATATCTGAACCCAGAAGGTCAATTCAATTTGATTTGTCTGCTTCTGGTTCAGACTGGGGGTGAGAGAAAGCTGCCATTCATATTTTCAGACCTTAAATAATTCCAGTTCATTTGATGGAGTTGACTACTTTCTCCTCGTGAAAATTCTTTTTTCACTGCTTGTATGACACTGTTTTGTTTTGTTGCTGTTGTTGTTCTTATTTTTCTTTTAGTACAATTTTACTTTCATCTTCTCTCTCTCTCTAAATATACATATAATAGGTATACTGTGTGTATATGTGTGTGTGTGTGTGTGTGTGTGTATGTGCATTTTTAAAGCAATAACCTATTGTCTTTGTTTTTTTCCTTCAAGCCCATCCACTTTTAGAAATGCAACACTTAAGGCAAATATCTCCAAAATCTTTATCACTAGCTCTGAACTTATTCTAGATTTCCCCAGACTGGTGGAAAATTTTACTTTTCTAATTTGCAGTCTCGTTGACTACAATATAGGTAATTCTGAATTTATTTTTTTATTTAAAAATTATTCCACTTTCTATGTTTATTCTGTTTTTTTTGTTTTGTTTTGTTGTTGTTGTTGTTACTGTTAGTGACACCAGTGTCATCTCAGCTGTCCAGACTTGAAACCTCGGAAAACTTTACTCTTTACCACATACCTCACAAGTCACTGGTTACAAACCCTTTCAATAATCCCCAGTACTGTTCCATATGATTCAGTAATGCACTCACTCAACAAAATTCAAAATTTGATACTAACAAAATATCAAAATTAGATATCTATATACTATTTATTTACTATTTTCCAGGCACTATTGCAACAGCTGAGATATGGCAACAAATCTACTAACCATATCTTTTCCCTCATGGATTTTCTAGTTATGAGAGATAAAGAATAACATGTAGTGGTTGAAGTAGTATATACTTCTCTTTAACACATTCTGAACATAAAACACATTTCCTTCATCTCAAAAAAAGAGGCACTCATTTCAAAACTTTGTTTATAGAAGTTCCACTTAAAAACAAGTTTTACCTAGAGTTGCAGTCCATTAAAGTTTCTGAATGCACTAATTGACATCATTTTAATATTATTCAATCAATCATCAAGTATCTCTGAGCACTTAGAGCGCATACTTTACGAAAAGCTTTGTATGGCAGGGCTGAGAGGTTGGTGCAAATTTGGAGGTGGATTTTACACTACAGCAATGTCTAAAATGAGATTTTTACAGCACCCTTTAAAAATGATTTTGTGTGACACAGTACTTGTAGTCAAGTGTGCTTTCTTAAATGTCACTTACTGTATTTTATTTTACTTTCTCTTCAGTAAAAGTAAAAAAAATAATAATGAAAGAAAAATAAAGCAGTCTTGCAACCTTAATACTCAGGGAGACACTTTGAGTCCTAAATGAGTCATGTGTTTTAGATTAAACAATCTATAACTCCTCTACTCTTTCTGTGTGAGCAGCATTTTTAAAACTCTACATTTGTCTTCCTAACTCCCAACTTTCAACTTGCAAGTCTTTCCACTCATAAGTTTTGTGTACGTTGTAAAGGGATACAGAATTCTAATAGAGTTCTGCCCTTCTTTTCTCTGTGTAAATAAACCTGGAATTTATGCATTAACAGGGTCGTAGCTAGCTGGAAATTATAACCTAAGTTATTAATGAATTGGGTATAAGAGGAAAATGATCCATAATTGAAATGGCTTTCTCTGTGGGAGTAATGTTTCCTCTTGCATTGACCAGGCATCCTGCACTCAGAGCCAAAACTTGCCCTGGAGTGAAAGACAAACAAAACATCTTTTTTTTTTTTTTTTTTCATAATCAGAAGTTACCTCTGTAGATCTTAGACTTCTTCAGTGAAACCATGCACTTTTGAATTATTAGTAAGTTAGGGTAATTGGCATTATTCATCACTGCAAACATTTATTATTTCTTTGTAGTCAGAACATTTAAATTCTGTATTGTAGCTATTTTGAAATATACAATATATTATTATCTATAGTTATGCTACTGTGCAATAGAA
Source organism: Homo sapiens (assembly GCF_000001405.40). Classification (NCBI taxonomy): domain Eukaryota; kingdom Metazoa; phylum Chordata; class Mammalia; order Primates; family Hominidae; genus Homo; species Homo sapiens. The sequence continues at coordinate 81,509,761 of NC_000013.11, read as the reverse complement.
CACTATAAGTTATTCTTCCTATCTAATTGTATCTTTGTACCTATTGGCTTGTATCTCTCCATTTTTCTCTCCCCCAACGCTCCTGCACTCTGGTAACCACAATACAATTACTACTCAGTTGAGTTCCTTATATATTATTGACATTAACTCCTTGTCAGACATATAGCTTGCAAATATTTTCTGTCATTTATTTACAATAGCAGTGTGAGAGCATAAACAACTGCTGGTAGTATTTTGTATAATAGTAGAAAATACCACAGAAATTATGCAAATTCAGTACCTTTGATCAACAGAGCAGTATTTAAAAGATTTGAATCAAAAAGGCCTGAGGAGAGTCTGTCTCACTCCCACTTTCCACAGTTCTAAACATTCCATATTGTCTTAAGCATGGCTGTTTTCCACTTACACGTTAACCTTTGGACTCTGAAGCCATATCCCTTAGAAATACTTTTGAAAAAATTTTTGTAAAAAAAAATGTAATCCACTTCAAGTAGATTTTTGTATAGGTGAAAGATAAGGGTCCAGTTTCATTCTTCTACATGTAGATACCCAATTTTGGAGTATCCACTTCAAAAGCACCACTTTTGAAGAGACTCTTCTTTTTTCCCAATGTGTGTTCTTGGTATATTTGTTAAAAATCTGTAGCCTATAGATGCATGAATTTGTTTCTGAGTTCTTCATTGAGACTTAAATTTAAGACTCAAAACTATGAAAGTACCCAAAGAAAACCTAAGGAAAATACTTCATGACATTGTACTAGCAAGAATTTTTTGCATATGACTATAAAAGCACAGGCAATAAAATAAAAAATAGACAAATGTGATCACATCAAACTACAAAGCTTCTGCATAGCAAAAGAAACAACAGAGTGAAGACATTGTGCAGAATGACAGAAAATATTTGCAAGCTACATGTCTGACAAGGAGTTAATATCAATAATACATAAGGGACTCAAATCAGTAGCAATTGTATAGTGGTTACTAGAGCCTAGGACAGTTGGGGGAGTCAAGAATGGGGAGATAATAGTCAATAGGTACCAAGATACAATTAGATAGGAAGAATAACCTATGATGTTCTATTGCACAGTAGCGTGACTATAGATAATAATATATTGTATATTTCAAAACAGCTACAAGATAATTTAAATATTGACTACAAATAAATAATAAATGTTTGCAATGATGAATAATGCTGGTTACACTAATTTGATCATTGCACAATGTGTACATGTATAGAAACATCACAATATAAATATGTACAATTGTTATGTGACAATTTTAAAAATGACAATAAAATAATTTAAAACTCTCTTGCAAAGTTTTTTCTTCAACTTGTATTCAGAATATTAATCTATCTCTTTTTTGTGTTGAAAATAACATCTTCTCATTCCACTCTTCCTCTAGGCCTAAAAGCTTACTCAAGCTCACTTATTATAAAATAGCCATTCCTTAAAGTTGAAAGTAAAATAAACAGCTAAGAGCAAAGGGATAGACAGTGAAGAAAACTAATTAATGTTTATGATTAGGATCTAAGTCTTCCTGAAATGTTTAATGGATATCCAATATACACTACTTAAGAAAGCAGACTACTTCTATTTAAGATAATAAAGCAAAATGAATTCTTAGCAATTTAAGACACAATTAAGAAAATATATTTATATTTTTATACACATAAAAGTTTATATAAACATAAAATTTTAGTATTTGGAAAGAACATTAATGGTTATTTAGGCCAATTTTTTTTTCAGTAGCAAAGAAATCAGGGCCCATAATGGGAAAACAAATTGTCCAATGTTACAAGCTAAGGGGTAGCAGAGCTAATAGTATAAGTCATGTCTTCTTCCCAAAGATTAATAAGTTTTTAGTGAATATTTATTATGTTTCAGGCAATAGGCAACATAATCAAATGCACACAAAAAGGCCAGCCTAATGATTCCTTTCCTTCTGTTGAAATAGTTGTTCTGTACTAAATACTGAAACAAACTTTGTTTCATTACTCCCTTTATATTTCGTACTGTTCCTAGTCTCATTTTTTAGGTTGATACTGTTTTATTATTGGCCTTCCTTCCTAATATTTTATATAATAATGCCCACTTCCAAAAAGAAATTGATCCATGGATACACGTAGATTAATATAACAATAGAATGACAGCATTTGCCTCATAAAAGTCAGAATTTTTAAAAAGTATTCTTTTACAAAAAAAAAAAGATTAAGCATATTGTGCCTCCTTAGTTTGTAAAAACTGTGTTTTGGTATGAATGCACAATAGGTAAGATCCCTAATTGTTAATAGCTTAAGTCTGTAAAGAGTGTGTTGAATAGAATTACAACTCATTTAAGCCTCTTACTGTAAATCTGCATAGATTTGTATTTTTAAAATATATAGAAAGAACATCCTTCTGTCCAGGGTGTTTTCTCACTTTTTACATGTTTAAAGTTAAATACAGAAAAAAATTGTAGCTTTCTTTTTAATTAAAATTACTAAAACTTATAACCAGTTAACTTTTATTAATGTTACATTTTTCAATAAATATATATATATATATTACCAATAAGATGAACTGATATTGTGACAGCATTCTCAAAAGGATCAAAAAGAAGAGTTTTTCATTAGACCATCTACAGGATAAAATCTTGGAGTCCTTCCCTATAGCATCAGCCTCCTCTGGTTAATTTAGTTGGCTTGTAGTAAAAGACTTGAAGGCTGACCTAATCTCTAATATTGCTCTGTGAAATGTTCTGTATTTTGTGTCTTCTATTTACTTTTGTGGAGTCAATATTTTTCTACTCAACTGCAAACCTAGTTTTGTATTCCCTTGTTACTTTCCTTAGCAGAGCAAACACTATATTACATTTTTAAAACTGTAATAGTTGACTGCTGCCCTGCAGCCCCTAACCACCTCAATTCCCCTTGGTTTTCAAAGGAAAAGATTGGAAATGCACATAACTGCAACTTTCACAAATTCATTGAACCTGAAAAGCTAAGAAAACCTCGATAAATGTTGGAGCAGCACACAAGACAAACTCTAAAGCAGTTCAGGAATAAAACACAAAATTAATGACCTCTCTGAATGCAGAAAAGGATTCAGAGTTGAAAAACTGAAAAGGCACCCAAAATAAAGTGAGAGGAGGATAATAAATGTATTTTATGAATTAAAATATAGTTTTAATTCTTTCTAGTTTCAAAATATATACTTACACACACATAAGTGAGAATGCTTAGTTTTCTCTTTTGTTTACTCTTAGGTATGGAGGGTGATAGACTAGGTTTTACTTTTTCATAATGTTTTTATCATGATTTCAGAAATAATATTTTTCCAAATAGTTTATTACTTTGTCATGCTTTTAAAAAATTTCATAGATAGATGGGATTTCAGAAACTGCTTGAATGAGAAAGTAAAACAGCTTAGAGAATTTTTTCAAAGAAGAAATATTTCAAACTTAGAAGACTGGGAAATGAAGCGTGAGGTGACTCCTGTATGAAGAATAAACATTTGAAGTTGGTAGATGGGCAAAAATGTACTTTATTTAAAATTCTAATTATGATATATACAGTTACTAGGTTTCACATTTTATTTGATATTCAGCATCTTAACTCCTAACCCTAAACTAACTGAAGAGAGGATTAATCCTTGGTTTCTCTTTCTGTCTTCTGTACAGAAATTCTGTACACGTAATTTAGCATGGTGCTATATTAAGTGTTACTATGGGGAATGGAATGAGGAAAGAAAGAAAGATAGGAAAGGAGGGAGGGAGGGAGGAAGAAAATCATGTTGATCAGAGAATCACATGAAAGTACAGTGAAAGAGAAGGTTAGAACCGATAAATGAATCAGGAAAGGAACTATAGAAATGTTTGTGATGGTCAGGAGAACAATTTCAAGCAAATAACTTATTTCTAAAGTGGCATATTTCTAGCATCTTTTATTGAGACACAGGAAACACAGATCAGATTCTGTTGCTTCACAAACCTATTTAGCAAACAAGAACAATTGACGGTGTATCAAACCCTTTAAAAGTCTTGCTAAACTATGAGCCAGACTCAATTCTAGGTGGCAGTTTACATGTTAAACACTGCATATGATGGCCAGGATATTCAAATTCCAAGTGATGAATGAACATTGTTAGGTTTTCCTTCAATTTTATTGGGAATTACAATTAGTAACAAAAAATAAGTTATCCCGCAATTTTATAATATACATTTAATGAATGTGGAAACAACAAGGATAACACTGTTTATAATTAAAAATAAGCCAGACTCATTTTTGAATTCTTAAAAGTATTAGCTACTCAAGAAGAAGCAGCTTAAAATGTTGTTTTCACTTTGAAAATTATGTGTTTGTGCATGTGTACGTGTGTGTGTGCTGTCTTTTCCAAAGAGCATATATATGCTGTTTCCAACATTTTATAGAATTACAATCAGATATTTGTAATGTAGGGGAGAAAATAAATTTTAAAATTGGACAATCATATATTAACACAAAGCAATATAGCTATATTTCCTTTATAAAAGTCAAGACTTTATAAAGAGTCATGCTATGTACATAATATTTATGATTTTAATGATTTAAGTATGTATTGTGCTGTGTTGAACATTATTTTACATGTATTAAGCAGATGTTCAGCTAAGTTAAACTTATTTGAGCCTTCCACTTCATAGATGTGTATTTTGAAACATTTATAATTAAAAGTTACTTGTGTCTGTTTTGTCTAAAGTTTTCTCTCTTTATTATTTTTAACATTATATAAGAATAGAGACTCTACCTTATTATTTTTATTTATAATTATTTTATTTATAATTTCTGAGGGTTTAAAACCAATAATATTTTATTCATACTAGCTTTTTCAGTAAATCTATATATGTGAATATTGTGACATAATGCTAGGAAGCTATTCTCAAAAGATACAGAAGAGTGGTTTATCACTACATCATCCATCTACAGCATAACATCTTGAGTCCTTCACTGCAAAAAAAAAAAATTATTAATACAAACCAAGCAATTCTCAAATGCCAAAGGTTAAGGATTATAGAGCCATTAATTGAAAAGATCATCCGTTCTTCATGAAATTACCTGTGCTCCCTTGTCAAAGATCTGTTGACAATGTTTCCATGGGTCTATTTCTGAGCTCCTTATTCTGTTCCATGAAGAATGTTGTCTACTCCTTCATCAATGCCATACTGTCATTACTACTGGCACATTATAGTAAGTCTTGCAAAATTAGGCAGCTTGAAAAGAATTTTAACCAGTAAAGATAAATTGAAAACATGACCTCATATGTATTTTTTTACTAAATGGAAAAAAAATATGAAAGAAAAAAGCCCTTGCTTTGAAATTTAGGTTACCCATTAGTTAAATTTAGTGGCCGAAACATTGTTATTGTACCTTAATAACCCATGAACATTTTTCTTTTGAGAAATTCACTTGCCTATTAATTCTCCTAATCTCTTTTTCTTCTGATTGTTTTAGGAGCTTTTATTTGGTTTAATTTTTAAATGTCTTATTGGTATATCTTTTTTTATGAGAAGGAAAAGCAATGGCTATGTATAACAAAGCAATCTGATGTGTGCGTGTGTGCGCGTGCAGGTGTGTGTGTGTGTGCGCGCGCGTGTGTGTGTAGTTTTGCATTTACTCCTAAGAGAAACTAGTCTTTGAGTTTGCATGTGTAAGGCAGTGGAGATGCACACACACATATATATGTATTTCCCCAGATCAAACAAAGTGGAGATACGAAAGAGGAAATACGCGATGAAAGGAATCAGTTGTCACTGTTTCAAGGAGATCTCAGTGATTCAATAGAAATGTGATGAAGAAAAGTATCTCATAAATCTTGAACTCTCTATCTTCTTGAACAAAATTACAGGCTGCACAACAAGGCAAAGAAAAGCATTAATGGGTGATTTGGGTGCTTATAATTATGAAGACTTTATGTTTTAAGTAGAGAGATGTTTTGTTATAAAAGATTATATGCGAAAGAAGAGATGAGTAAGAAAGTATAAATTTAAAAAACAAAACAATCAAAATAAACAAACAAACACGGATGTGTTAACAGTGAAAAGTTAGAGTTAAAGGCTTTTGCCCAATGGCTAGATCACTAATCAGACTCTCCCCTGCTCAATCTCACACAGTTATACTTTATACATCTCATGGCATCATGAAAAAAAATGTTCACAAGTCTCAAAACAGATTTGCTATTCTCATTATTAGAACATGCATGATTAAATTGGAAAATACGATATGTCAAATGACTAGCTTGCTGAAAACCTGTGAGCAGTTTTTTTTGTTTGTTTGTTTGCTTGTTTTTTTTGTTTGTTTGTTTGTTTTTTGAGATGGAGTCTTGCTCTGTCGCCCTGGCTGGAGTGCAGTGGCGCGATCTTGGCTCACTGCAACCTCCACCTCCCTGGTTCAAGCAATTCTCCTGCCTCACCTCCCAAGTAGCTGGAACTGCAGGCACGTGCCACCACACCCGGCTAATTTTTTTTTTTTTTTTTTTTTTTTGTATTTTCAGTAGAGACGGGGTTTCAGCATGTTGGCCAGGCTGGTCTCGATCTCCTGACCTTGTGATCTGCCTGCCTTGGCCTCCCAAAGTGCTGAGATTACAGGTGTGAGCCTCTGTGCCTGGCCCAGTGACCAGTTTTTAATAAAACTGTATAATGTCATATCAAATATTAGAGATAAAATAAATATAACATTACTCAGCCCTTTTCATTGTCTAAAAGTTATGTGTGAAAAATTTCCTTATTTTGAAAAAGTTAGTAGCTAATTATTACTAACAGTATTCTGCTAGCAGTCCAGTCTTCATTTTCATTACAGTAATACCAACATAACTTCATAATCAAGGGGAACTATATAATAATTTTATATATTTTATATTTTCCTTAAGAATAAAATATATATATTCACACAAAATCATTTGCTGAAGAAAAACCATTATATTTGATTCATGAGGAAAGTTTTTCAATCATGTTTAAGTAGTTTTAATTTTAATATTTTAAAAGACATAATATATGTCATTTTTAATAAACTAGGTAAACTTAACTTTTTGTGGCTAGCTATGTTAATTCACATTTTGGGATAACAGAACTGAATGAACCAAATGACACAGAAGTGCCTGTCTCTGATATGAATAGAAAGCACAAAGAGTTTTACAAACTTTCATAACTCCTTCAACACAAGAGAAGATAAAGATATGAATAAAACGTACTGCAAACATTAAGTCCTAGGATATCATGTAGGACAGTACACTATTATGGTAGGAAAAGGTTGTCTACCTCCGGACACCTCTAGGAAATATTACATGACCTTGGGAAAGGCATTTCACTCTTAAATCCTCAATTCCTTTCTCTGTGAAATAAAAACTCTATAGAAACTACATAAAACTACCCTAGATAATTTTGTCTATTAGAATCTCCTAAAAATCTTCCAACTTGCTGGGCGCGGTGGCTCAGGCCTATAATCCCAGCACTTTGGGAGGCCAAGGCGGGTGGATCACCTCAGGTCAGGAGTTCGAGACCATCCTGGCCAACCTAGTGAAACCCCGTCTCTACTAAAAATACAAAAACTTAGCTGGGTGTGGTGGCGGGCTTCTGTAATCTCAGCTACTAGGGAGGCTGAGGCAGGAGAATTGCTTGAACCCGGGAGGTGGAGGTTGCAGTGAGCCGAGATCTCGCCATTGCACTCTAGCCTGGGCAACAAAAGCAAAACTCCGTCTCAGGAAAAAAAAAAAAAAAAAAATCTTCCAACCATCAGGAGTGCAAACTTATGGCAAAAACATGTATTTATGTGTTTCACTCTGAGACAAAATAAGCTAGCATTAAAAATATATATTTCTTTTTCAAAGAGCAGATTGAGGAGCAGACATTTTATAGATGAAGTCGGTTAATGTTAATTTATACTCTGAAAATAAGTCAAATATCAGTGTCCCATTACTGAATGGTGACCTCCAATGTCCTGTATTTATAATGGTAAAGACATCCTGGGTATCCTTTAGGTGCAGTGACTTTTACTGATAGAAACAAAGTAACAATTATATTTACAAAGTTATGAACAAAACCAAGTTTATTCCTCCTTTTCTTTTACTTCATTGGATTTTATGAAACTTTAATTCACAAAAGATAATCAAACCCCCAGGGAATTAGAAGCATTCACTTGCCTGTTAATTCTCCTAATATCTTTGTGCTCTGATTGTTTTAGTAGCTTTTATTTGGTCTCATTTTTAAACATCTTATTTGTATAGCCTTATTTTACCAAGGAGAAGGAAAAGCAACAGCTAGATATAACAAAACCATCTGTAATTAGTTTGATCTGCGATAGTTAAAACTATTTACTAAATAATTGGATAAAATTTAAATATTATTATGAATTAATTTACCATGAGCATCACTAGTTCAGAATATATACTATTTTTCTTCTGTAATTTTAAAAATAAAGTTTTGAAGATTTTAAGAATGCAGCAACAATGATGCAATTCATTATATTTGTACTCACCTGGTTTTGGCCCCAGAAAAATATGTAAATAAATAAATTTTATTTTTTAATTAATTTATTTTTGAAGACAAGGTCTCACTCCCTGATTTGATCCTTATACATTGTATGTATGTATTAATATATCACATATAACTCATAAATTAGTACAAATAAAAATGAAATGTAATGTAGTACCTTGGACTGATAACTAGAGCACAAAAAGAATGCTAATAGAAATACTGGTGAAAGTTGAGTAGTCTTGTATTTTTTCAATGGTGATATACCAACATCAGTTTCTTAGTTTTGACAAAGGTACTACTGTAACATAATGTAATAATTTTAGGGTTAACTGAAACTGGAAGAAGCTGGGGTGGTGCTCTTATGTCACTGTAACCTCAATGTTCTGGGCTCCAGTGATCCACTCACCTTAGACTCCTTAATAGCTGAGACTATAGGCACACGCCACCACACTCCACTGATTTTTTTATTTGATTTTTTTTTTTTTTTTTTGTAGATAACTGAGTCTCGCTGTATTATCCAGACTGGTCTCAAACTACTGGTCTCAAACTGCTGGCCTCAAGTGATTCTCCAACCTCAGCCTCCCAAAGCATTGGGATTACAGATGTGAGTCATCTCCCCTCATCAATAAATAACTTAATCTGTTAGCAATATTACATTAAGTAGCTCTTAAAATTACATTTTTTCTATTTTAGCAAGATTTTGCAGTCTGTTATACGATTTAAGCAAACACAGCAAACACCCTCTCTATTTTTCATGCTTGCCCATCCAAAATTCATGGGATAATTTTGTCCTCTGTGAATATTAGTTTGTTCTATAAAAGACAGATTGTAACCTAACTGATAAACAACAGGGTTATATATGAATCTTATAAGGTTGCACTAAATAACAAATCTTTCTGAATAGCTAAAATGCCTCAGGTTTTAAATAAGGCAACATTGGGAATTGTATTTGAGTTGTCAGGATTTATGGGTAGTCTCATACCCAAGGATTTCAATTGCATCTTGTGAGTAGTCAGGCTGCATAGAAAATTTTATTAACCATTTTCAAGAGACACATATGGCTTTATTAATGTTTTCAAACTCTGTGTATCTTTTAAGGAGATTTTCTTTAAAAACATAAACATCTTTGTTTTAATTCTGAAGAAATGATAATACAGAAGCTAAAGTCATGTAAGTATATATGAAATACAAAAACCATCTTATATTTTAGCATTTTATATTGCCAAAAATGATAACAACTTTCTCTTTATTTGTTATAAGAATCAAAAATAAAAGAAGATGTTAAAATAGAATTTAATAATTAACTGGGCATAGAGAAGTTTATTGTACCTAAGTCTGTGTTCTTTATTTAAAAATATAATGATTCAGGCTGGGCGCGGTGGCTCACCCCTGTAATCCCAGCACTTTGGGAGGCCGAGGCGGGCGGATCACCTGATATCAGGAGTTCCAGACCAGCCTGGACAACATGGCGAAACCCTGTCTCTACTAAAAATACAAATATTAGCCAGGCGTGGTGGCAGGCGCCTGTAATCCCAGCTACTCAGGAGGCTGAGGCAGGAGAATTGCTTGAACCTGAGAGGCGGAGGTTGCAGTGAGCCGAGATGGCACCACCGCACTCCAGCCTGGGGGACAAGAGCCAGACTTCCTCTAAAAAAAAATAATAATAAATAAATAAATATAATGATTCAATTTCTGTGGTAAGCCAAAAATAAAAGAAAAAGTGATATGTGTTTACAAAAACAGGGAAACCATTTTTCAGTTTTTGCTGTTTCCAATGACACTTTATGTATTTTTCATGACAATTGTAGATTATTTGGAAGCTTAACTCAGAATCTTTGCACTCGTATTTCTTTCTACAGCCTTCTAACCCTAGAGAGCTGAGGAATTATATATCCCTGACTTCATTCATTCAGTCTCTGGTCAAATGAAACCAGATATATTTCTTGATATCATTTATACTACAATATTTCTCACCATATTACAATCTATTGCTTTGCTCTGCTTTATATTTTTAATAAACTTTTTATTTTGAATTAATTACATAATGATTGCAAAGGTAGTACTGCAAGTTGCAACACACCCCTCTTCCAGTTTCAGTTCTCCTTAATGTCATTACCATGTACTTATACAGTAGTATACTTGTCAAAACTAAGAAACCAGCGTTGATGTATTACAGTTGACAAAATCCAGGACTACTCAAATTTCATCAGTTTTTCCATGATTTTTGTGGTTTAGTTACCAATCCAGGGTACTACGTTGCGTTTGTTATATTTTTATTTTTAGTTATACTAAAATGTGGGGTACATGTGATATCTTGATGCATGTGTACAATGTTTAATGACCAAGTCACAATAATTGGGATATCCATCACTTGGAGTATTTATCATTTCTTTGTGTTAGGAACATTACAGTTCTGCTCTTTAAGTTGTTTTGAAATATACAATAAATTATTGTTAACTATAGTTGTCCCACTGTGCTGCTGAACAGTAGGTCTTATTCCTTCTATCTAGCTCTATATCTGTACCCACCAACCATTTCTCCTTTTTGCCTCCCTCCCCGTTATCCTTCCCAGATTCTGTTAACCATCATTCTGTTCTATATTTCCGTGAGATCAATATTTTTTTAGCTCCCACATATGAGTGAAAACATGCAATATTTTTCTTTGTCTACCTGGCTTATTTCACTTAAAATAATGTTCTTCAGTTCCATCCATGTTGTTGCCCATAACAGAATTTCATTCTTTTTGAGGGCTGAATGATATTCCATTTTGTATATATACCACATTTTCTTTATTTATTCATCTGTTGATGAACATTTACATGGATTCCATACCTTGGCTAGTGTGAATAGTGCTGCAGTGCACATGGGAATGCAGATTTAAAGTACTGATTTCATTAGCAGTGGAATCACTGGATCACATGGTAATTCTATTTTTAATTTTTTGAGAGACCTCCATATCATTCTCTATAGTGGCAATACTGTTAGATTTCTATCAATAGTGTACAAATGCCTCTCTTTCTTTATATCTTGTCAGCATCTGTTATTGACTGTCTTTGGGATACAAGCCCTTTTAACTGGGGTAAAAAGATAGCTCATTACAATTGGATAGACATTTCTCAAAAGAAGATATACAAATGGCCAATAGGTATGGAAGAAATACTCAACATCATTAATCATCAAAGAAATGTAAATCAAACCTACTAAAAACTACATTGTATTAAGTTGTCATGTTTCCTTAGTCTCTTCTTGTCTGCGAAAGAATTTCAGTGTTTCCTTATTTTTCATAATCTTGGCAGTTTCAGGGATAACTGGTTAGGTATTTTGTTTCTTGGATTTATTTAAGATGTTCCTCATAATTAGAGTGTAGATATTATTGTTATTATTATTTTGAAAAAAATTATATATGTAAAACGACCATCTTGTCATATCATATAAAAGTTATGTGATATCCACATTACAACACTGATGATAAACCTGGTCACTTGGTTAAGATGGTGTTTGATAGGTTTCTCTACTGCATTCATACTGTTTTTTCTTTTCCATACTCTATTATTTGGAAGTGAGTTCCACACAAAAGGATGAGCTGGGGATTAAATATGCTCCTCCTCCTAAAGATATGCATATATTCATAGATTATGTGAAATTATTCTCTAGCAGATTTGCATCTTCTCCATTTATTTAAGCAATAATTGACATATCAGTATGGATTTCGTATAATTTTTCAACTTCTTGTTAAAATATAATACTGTACTTTTTATTTTGTTTCTCAAATCTTTCAGCTTTGGCATTGGAAGCTCTTTCATTCCCCTTGTGTACCTGTGACATGCCTCAAGCCCCATTTTTTTCTTTTTTTTTGTTTTAATATTATGCTTCTGTAATTGGGGTTCTACAGGATGCTCTATGATCATCTCGAAATGTCCTTATCTCAACTTCATAATCAGCCATTTCTCCAAGGAATTCTGGAGTTTCTTTTATTGAACAATGATATTAGAAACAAAAATCTTGGCACTGTGTGAATTTATAGGACATCTCAGCTGAGAGAGCTGGGTAATATATTCTGTATATGAACACATGTATCCACAGATACCAATCAATGGTTCTGTATTTACACATCTGTGTTCAACTAAGAATGATTTCATACTGATATCTCTGGCTATAATCTACTTCTATGTGATTCTATCTAGCCTTGCCTTTTGAGTTACTGTTTTTGGTTATCCCTTTCCAAATACGGGAAACATGGCTTCCACCATCCAGCATCCATTTGCTGATTCATTCTCAGTATACATATAAAGCAATTTTAGAATGTTTAGTATGCACCCCTTGAGAAGCAAATTTACCAACTAAAATGCAGTGCTTGTGTACAGTTCCTTTTTTCTTAGCTTTAATTTCTTTTTTAGTCAAAACACTATTTTCCAACTTAGATCAACTCCTATTTTTCTCCCACTTCTAACCTTTTTAATAGAGTAAGATTCATTCCTCACAGTCCATTTTTGGGTCTCCTAGGCTTTATATTTTAAATTTCCAAAAGTCATTATAATACACACATTATTATACACACACACAGACGCACACACACATGCATACGCACACACTATACACCTTTACCTTTGAGGAAGAAAACTATCTTGATTTCTCTCTGTCTCTCTTTCTCTACCCCTTTCTCCTCATCTCCCTCTCTGTCTCTTTTCATCTGTTTTTCTTTCTATTTATATATGTTTTTCGTATCTATGCATTATATGTTTTTTTTCCATTCATGTAATCAATCCAACATGTTTTTAAGGATTCTGTTTTTCAGGTTTGCTGCATCCTTCTAGGAATACAACAGTGAACAAAATAATATCATAATGATATGACCTTCTGAGAGTCGAATTCAAGAAAGAGGACATATTCTTTTAGCAAATAAGCAGGTAAATGGAACATATTCAAAAGGTGGTAAGGATTACTGAGAAAAAGTAAAAGCAAGGTAAGAGAAGGGACAGTTTTAGGGTGCTTGAAATGATAATTTAAATACAGTAGTCAGTGAAGAATTTCTAAAATATTTTTATTTTCAGTGGAAAACAATGAATTTGGGGAGTGCTATAAGATATGAGGAAATCTAGGCAAAAGCAGGAGTATTTTTAGTTGATCTTAAAAGAAGAAATGTTTTTGTTTGAAGACCATCAAAAAAGATAGTGTGGTTGAACCAGAGTGATAGGATGAGTGGTCAGAGTTGAGATCAGAAACTGAACTCTAGTGAGTTCATGTTAGTTCCCACAGGCTATTTTATGCACTTCTATTATGAATGAGATGAGTTGCTGTTGGAAGGTTTAGAGTTGCTATTTTACTTCTATTTAAAAAGAACACTTTAACTACAATATGGAAAATAGAATTGGGTGGGTAGATAGATGGCAAGAGAGAAAAGAAACAAAAATTAGAGCAGTCCTACAGTAATCCAGCTGAGAGACAGTAGTGGGTTGTACAAGTGAATTAGTGGTAGAAAAAAGAAGTGATCAGATTCCTGATAAAATTTGACATTAGATCCAACCAGATATATTAATGGAATAATGATAGAGAGGAATCAAAGATGCTTTGTAAGCTTTGGGTCTGAACAAAGGTAAAAATAACCTTGCATTTATTGAGAAGGGGTAAGATTTCAGAAGAGAGAGAGAGGAGTCTTTAGAAGAGTAAAAATGTATGTTAGAACTTTTTATTTAGAACATTTTCAGATTGTGATATTTAATAAATATCAACTGAAGGTGTCATTTAGGTAGTTGGTGATGATGAGTTAGAGTTCACCCAAGTGGTTCTTTCTGAAGACCTAACATCAAGATTCATTAAAATATAGATAAAATTTAATGCATACATTCTCAATAGGGGTGTTAGAGCCCTCAAAGATGTAAAAATTGGTTCTTAACTAGTGGAAAAATGTTTGATATTACAATGATCTGTGGTTCTCCACAGTGCAAACCTATCTGACAAACCCTTATTTCTTAGTAAATGAAAAGACCTGGTAGTACTTTTAAGAATTTCCATTTCTAAAATTTCAACATATATAAATATGAATATTATTCAATATGCCCTACGGTTTGGGTTGGTTATAAGGAAAATGATGCTTAACGATTTGTATCATAACTAGCTTCACCTCACCCTAGTCCAATTATTACTTTAATTAAGTTCTATGCCATTATCTCTACTATAATAGGTCTTGGTCTCAGCAGAAAGTCATTTGTATTGCTGTATCTGTTTTTAGACTGCTCTAAAGCTATGATGGGTAGATTTTAAAGTGATTGAACATCAGTCTTAGAGGGAGAGTTTCTAATATCTCTTACTGGCCTTAGATGCCTGATTATTCTATATTTTACTAAATTAGAATCTTACTGATGGCTTACCACATCTCTCCCCAGTGCACATTCATAATTTCATAGTTTACCTCAAAATGATCTAAACATAAGTCCCTATAGTCTCCACACTTTTACTTTTAACTAATATTGATCTATGTATATTAATTTTTAAAAAAATTTTGTAACCATATCTTTGTTTCTCGATCTCCAGATTCAAAGCTTAGCTTGCATTTCTATCACTGTATAAAACTCAGACTTCATTCCTATTTCAGTCTACCTTACCTGTTTGTATGAGCCTTATGACTGCTTCGATACCGATCATGACAAGTGCAATGATCTCTTTAGGGGATATTTGTGTGGGACACAGAAAGAAAATGTAGAATGTGTTTCAATGCACAAATAAATTTACAATCCGTTCACACACAACATATCAACAGTAGGTGGTGGTATATATAAGTGGCACAAAAAATCAATCTAGGTTTCAAAATTCATCAGGATACGTCAGGATGAGAAACGTATACTCACTCTTTTCCCCACCATATAAGGTAGTAGAGGAAGATCTCCAAGACACAGAAATTTCAAACTGTAAAAGAAGGAAGTATTTAGTTTAGTCAACTGGTTTACTAGGCAAAGAATTGAAGGCTAAGTAGCAAAATAGCATTTTTACAGGAAAAAGACTCTTTTCCCACTCATGATGATTCCTTCATTGTGGAGGGATGCATATCAGCATTTCAATCATTTTTCTCCTGAGAGTTTAGAAAAATTCAACTGGGCATGATGATTTCAGACCCTTTGTCTCTCTCCTCATTCTGAACCTGTTTCCCAACTGGGAGCATATTTTCTGTTCTGTCTGAAATTTTTACAATGTCTTTTAATTGTTAAGTTGAAAAATCCCATTTAGAATATTTAAAAAATTTTTTTTGTCAGAGTTGTAACTTTTTGCTAGCTACTCTTTTAAATTTTCTTTTTCTTAAAGGTTTCTCCTTTTCTTCTTTTCTTTTTTTTTGGTATAAATTATGCAGCTTAATATGGGGTTTATATTCTCCTTGTTTTCCCTCAAATATCCATTTTTCCTAAAAAGTCACTATATTGTAGTGGTTAAGAATAGTTTCAACATCCATGAGCTGTCAGAAATTGAGCCAATTACTAATTTTTGTTTGTTTCATTTTTACATCTGTAAAGTGAGCCTAACGCATGCAAAAGTAACATAGTACAATTTATTGGTCATCACTCTGTTTTAAAGAGATAATGGCTCCCACTGTAGCCTCTGGAACACTAGAAAATGAACCTTCTGAGGATCTTTCTAATATTTTTCCTGCCCTAAGGATACAGATATATTTTTTACACTATCCTGGGGAATTAAACCATATGAATAACCTCACTGGCATATTAAAAACTACTGTGCAGAAACATTTTTAGAGTTAATAATGTGTAAGCGGTATTTTTTAAAATTGCTTTACCATTAATAAGGGTAGTATTCATACTAATACTGCAGCAATGTTTCTTTATTTTCCCCCAACTGTTCACTCACTTGCCACATACATAACAGATGGGAAGCGTTAATCGAAGACAATATGCTAAATTGCATTTACTGGCATACCGCACTCTAGAAAATGATGTAACCCCATGATACATATGTAGCTTTTAGAATGAGTAAACAAGAGCTTTGACCTGACCACAGTGTGTCCTCACCATTCATTAACCATTCCATATAGAAACACTAATGCTCAGGCATTGTGTTTCCCTCTCAGGAACCAAAAGGAAATAAAAAGATGACTTTTCTTTGTTAATAATGTTGCTATGGAGAGAACTACATGGATGTGTAGAAAACAAAAATTTTATATCAAAATTGATAAATCATACTTCTTTTTTTTTACTATATTCTTTTGGTCCTTTTTGATCATTAACCAGAGTTATGAATCTTATTTTGAACACAGTTAAATCAGTTTTATTATTCTTTATAACAATGAAGAATAAAATACATTTAACAGATACCTTATTTTCTTTCTTTAAGGATAATTTGCAGGATACATTTTAGAAATGTATGTATATAAAAATGACTTTCCAGTTATTACTTTAAGTACTGAGAAATGACATCAATATAGATATAATTATATTTAGTGCTCAAAATACAATTTAGAGATTACATTCTTTCTAGCATTTGCTTTCTGAAAATAAAATTCTTAATATCTACCCAAAATAATTAGAGCCATCTAATAATGATGCCAAGCTATCTGCTGTAATCGATCAGCAGCTTGGCATTAATGGTGTTTGAAGGAAATATATCAAACTAATGAACAGCTAAGAGACATGAGAGTAAGTTATTGCTTCAGTTCGGCTACTGTCAATAGCCGTCTGAAATACTACAAAGACTAAGAGCATTAATGTTTATAGCAAGTCCTTGAAATAAATTTCTTGACTATTTTTCACATATAAATATATAAATAAAATTGAGCATAGCAATTATAAGATATACTTTTCAAATCTATTATAATCTTTAAAGTTTCTACATAGGAGCACATGCATGATATGCACACTGTTCCCTAAATCTATTTGGTAAAATTTACTCTTGTTGTTTTTCTTTTTTTCCTTAGTAAGAATGCTATATTCAGGGTTTAGGTAGATAGTTTGTACTAGAAAAGCCCTTGGCTTGATCAACGGGAACTATTGTCATTATTCTCATTTAACATATGTGGTAGCTATAGAATAATGAAAATAATTATAGTGAACAGTTTTTTGGAATGATTGCTACATTGCAAGTAGTATTATACATTTTTAAAGTTTAAATAGTCATATAAGCCAATGAAATACAATAGGATGCCCAGAAATAAGCCTATGCTTATGTGGCCTACTGATCCATGTCAAGGGTGCCACCAACACAATGGGGAAAAGATAGTCTCTTGAATATTTGGAGAAAACAGTGTTGGGAAAACAGAATATTCACATCCAAAATAATGATAGTGGACCTTCATGATACACTATACACAAAAACCAACTCAAAATGAATTAAAGACTTAAATATAAGACCTGAAACTAAAATAAATTCTACAAAAAACATAGAAAGTTTCTTGACGTTTTCTTTGACAATGATTTCTTGAATATAACACCAAAAGCACAGACAACAAAAGCAAAAGTACACAAGTGGGATAATATCAAGCTGAAACTTCTGCCCAGCAAAGGAAGCAATCAACAAAATGAAAAGGCAACCTACAAATGGGAGAAAATATTTGCTTGCTGTATATTTAATACAGGGTTTATAGTCAAAATATTTAAGGCACTCCTACCATTCAATAGCAAAAACAGAAACAACAACTAAATAAATAAATAACCTGATTTAAAATGAGCAAAGGGCCAGGCG
This sequence comes from Homo sapiens, assembly GCF_000001405.40. Classification (NCBI taxonomy): domain Eukaryota; kingdom Metazoa; phylum Chordata; class Mammalia; order Primates; family Hominidae; genus Homo; species Homo sapiens. Next base: position 81,491,600 of record NC_000013.11, on the reverse strand, counting down.
CAGTGGCTCACGCCTGTAATCCAGCACTTTGGGAGGCCAACGCAGGCAGATCACAAGGTCAGGAGATCGAGACCATCCTGGCTAACATGGTGAAACCCAGTCTCTACCAAATAAATAAATAAATACATACATAAAATAAAATAAAATAAAAATTATCCGGGCGTGGTGGCGGGCGCCTGTAGTCCCAGCTATTTGGGAGGCTGAGGCAGGAGAATGGTGTGAACCCGGGAGATGGAGCTTGCAGTGAGCCGAGATCGCGCCCCTACACTCCAGCCTAGGCGACACAGAGAGACTCCGTCTCAAAAAGAAAAAAAGAGCAAAGGACATGAATAAACTTTTTTTTCCAGAGAAGACATACAAAGGGCCAACACAGGTATATGAAAATGTTCTCAACATGACTAATATTCAGAAAAATGCAAATTAAATGAGATAGATAGATATCACCTCAAATTTGTTAGGATAGCTATTGTTTAAAATAAGAAAGAAAGATAAGTATTGGTGAGAATGTGGAGGAAAGAGAACCTTACACATTATTAGGGAAAATATAAATTAGTACAGCCACTGTGGAGAACAGTATAGAGGTTCCACAAAAAAATTAAAAATAGAACTACCACCTGATCCAACAGTCTCACTACTGGGTATATATTCAAAGGAAATGAAATAACTATGTTGAAGAGATATCTCCCCTCCCATGTTCATTGCTGTACTCTTCACAGTAGCCAAGACATGGAAGCAACCTAAATGTTCCTCAACAGATAAATAGATAAAGAAAATGTGGTATGTATATTGAATGGGTTATTATTCAGACTTTAGAAACAGAAATCTTGTTATTTATGACAACATGGATGAACCTGGATGACATTATGCTAAGTAAATAAGCCAGATACAGAAAAACAAATACTACACGGTACCACTTATGTGAAAATCTAAAATAGATTCATAAATGTAGAGAACAGAATGGTTACAAGGGACTGCAGTGAGGGGAAAATAGCAAGTTATCAGTCAAAGGATACTAAGTTTCAGCTATGCCAGATGAGCAAGTCCTAGAGGAGATATACCGTAAATCATAGTACCTGAAGTTCATAATAGTGTACTCTGTACTTAAAATATTGCTAAGAGATATATCATATGTTAAGTGTTTTTATCACATATATATGATGTAAATAAATAAGTGCATAAATACCCAAGGCAGGAGAAAACTTTTGGAAGTGATGGATAGGGTTATTGCATAGATGGTGGCAATAGTTTCACAAGTATATACTTATCTCCAAACTCATCCTATTGTATGTATTAAATATGTACAGCTATTTACATATCAATCATAGCTCAATCCAGTATTTTTCAAAAGAACTTAAACAGCCCTATACTGTGGCTGCTATTAGTATTTCAATCTTTTCAGTGAGAAAACTGAGATACAGCAAAATAAGTTAACTTTGCCAAAACACCGTCTGTCAGTAAGCAGTGAAAGTCAAGACTGTTCCTATGTAGTCTAGCCCCATGCTGGAGCTTTACATAATTATGATGTACTCTTTCATTAGGAGTACCTTAGGAGAAGAAACCCATTCTGAGTTATCATTTGAAAACCTGAAAGGTAACATGCTTTACCATTCCTATAACCCACTTTGTTATTTCTACTTTTAAATCATGGGGCTGGAGTTACACTGTCCAGTAAAATTTTCTACAATGATGGAAATGTTCTATAATCTGCACTCTTCAATATGTTGGTTACCAACCCCAGTTAAAATGTAACTAGGGCAACTGAGAAACTCAATTTATAATTTTATTAAATTTTATTTAATGTAAGCATAGATTTAAATAGCCTCACATTGCCAGAAGCTACCAAATTGGAGACTGGTGGGCTAGGATTTCTGGTCAGGATAGATACACCCAAGAGGCTCTTTGACGCATAAATGTCTGAGCCAATTTACCTTGAAATTCATGCTTCTAATCCTAGTGATAAATTTGATTCTTGTTCCAGAAATTCCACCTTGATTGCAGCTCTGACCTTTTCTTAATTCCCTTACCTGCCATCCTGAGAATATTAGGAATAGTATTGAAGAAGCTGAATATCCTGAACAGCTGTTAGGAACTAAAGACAGGGGTGGGTCAAATGAAGAGAAAGTTTAGATAAGCTCACCTAAAATTTGAGGTTTCAGGAATGTAAGTGCTGGGTTCTACCAATGTAAATTCACAGATGATCCCCAAGCAACGTTTTCTTTCCTTCTATCTCCTCATTGGTGCTTTCATCTATTTTCCTTTTCAGTGCCCATGGATAAAAACCAGGTTCTCTACAGAGCTCAATTTAGTCTCATTAACTGTTTTTTCTTTTTCTTTTACAGGAGTTAATGTATGTCTTTTTTGAAATGTCCTAATACAGCTATTATTAAGGAAAGAGAAACTAAAAGAAGAAAAATACTTTCTTTTATATCACATTTTTCTGTTTTTATTTTCACTTAGATAAAGCCAAATTTACTGATATTCTAATCATTACTTTTTGGATACATACAATCTGAAGAAACCTATATTTTATGGGAAAACCAGCCTCAAGGTATAGAAGAGCTTAATGCAGAGAGGCATTTAAGAATAATTGGAAATATATATATATACACACACACACACAAAGCAACTGAAAATGATACCAGTGATAACAGCGGTGGATGGCAAGGAAGGAAGAAGGTAAAACAAGCATTATCATCTTTACTACCTCAGTAATCCCACCCTTCCACCCCCAGTTTAAGGTCAGAAGCCAACCTACTCCCTGTTTAAAACATCTGCTTAGCAGTAAAGGGGCTGGATTTTTTGGCGACAAATATCTATTAGGAGAGAAGCAAACAAGAGAATGTGATACAATGAAGTAGAGAGAGGCATTGCAACAATTATCTACTTGACGGTTCTAACTCAGATTTCAACACAATCTCTCCTTATACCAGAAAATGTATGCCGTCTGGAATCTCTGCCTCTTAAATGAAGAAGGCCAGCAGAGTACTGATTTCCAAATGCATATATGTTTCCCCATCTGCATAACACTGCATGTTTACTGTAAGTAAATATGTAAAGAGATAGAACATTAAAGCTATGAAAGAACAACAGACAAAATGATCAAATCTGTCCACAGCTCAGAATTACAAATAAAGAAGTATGCTCAATTTAAAAATAAAAAAAACAAGGCTTGGACTAGAAATCTGAGTCTGTGGTATTTCTTTTTCTCTACTTGTTTTCAACTGCTTAAGCTCAGAAATGTACTCTGTCATCATTCCTGTACTAAACACAACACTTTTTGGAAGAAAATGTACCCTATAATTTTTTTTTTAAGAAAGAATTTCCCTATCAGTAAGACTTGTGCCTTGTGGTGACATTTGACGGCATTGAATTTGAATTTGTACATTCTGTCTAAATACAATGATGTCTTCAGCTGATAAAATTGCACTACATTACACAATCAAAATACCTTTGGGGGGGAAGGTTTCTGCTTACTGTTATAGTGCTATGTGAGCAAGCAAACACTCTCAGTTATTTTGTTTTCTATAAAATAACATCTATATATTATATATAATAATATATGTTATATAAAAATAGTATATAAGTATATGGAATTTATTTCAATAGATATTACTTCACAGAAAATAACGTAACTGAGAATCTTATTTGATTCTCTTTTATAAACCTTTTGTTTACTCACATAGGTAGATAGATGTGTGTGTGTATATATACATATATATATGCCCCAGTTTCTTGATGCACAGCTCCTAAAATCCTTGGAATTTCCTATGATACGGGTGCTAGGAACAGCTTTTGTTCTAATATTTGATCTTTGATTCAAGTAGCTAATACAGAGCTTCTAAATCCCTTAGAATTTCCTGGGTGATAAAGAGTGTCTTTGTTTTAATGAAACAATTCTTGGTGGGGTCCTGGATAGGGACTGGTCACCAGAAAGACCAAGACATGATTAAAACTTTGGAACTTTCACTTCTATCCCCCATTGTCCATGAAGGGGAGAAGGGCTGAAAATTGAGGTGATAATTGATCATACCTACGTGGTAAAGCCTCCATAACTTTCCATCTGGCTGTTCCCGGGTTGTACCCTGCTATAGTAAACTGGCAACTAAGTAAGTAAACTGTTTTTCTGAGGTCTCTGAGCCAGTCTTGAAAGAAACTGGATCCAGAGAGGGGATGATAGAAATTACGAATTATAGCTGGTTGGTCATAAGCACAGGAGGCAGCCTGGACTTGCATTTGGCATCTAAAGTAGCGCCATCTTGTGGAACTGAAGCCTTAACCTGTGGGATCTGACACTATTTTTAGGTATATAGTGTCAGGATTGAGTTTAACTATGGGATACCCTGTGGGTGTCTGCTGAGAACTGGAGAATTGAATTTCTTGGTGGAAAAACCCCTCACACATTTGGTGTCAGAAGACAATGGAAGTAGTAGTGAGTGTTAAGAGTAAAATATAGAGAAAGAAGAACAGCTGATCTTTCCTTTTACTTTCTTAGTTTCAAAACTTTCCAAAAATTAAAAAAATACAAAATGTAAAACAATGAAAATTAAAACCAGGAATAGAATTTACAACAAGAACAAAAAGAAACATCAGGGACCAAGAGAAAACCTCAGCATTTTAGAAGGCTAAAATGTCCTGTTTCTGTACCTTAATATTCTCATTTTTTTCTTTATTTTTCAGCCTTTTTTCTCACAATAAGTTTTTTTTTAATTTTTAGAAATAGAAATTACATCCACAACAGAAAATTTCTGTGCCATTAAAATTATCAACCTAAGAACAATACAGATTTTTTTCACATAAAATAATTAGAACTGTTTAATATTCAAATCAACACAAGTGCAGATTATGTATTTACTGTGTTTTAAAATTCTATTCTAAAACCAGAATAGAAAAAAATTTTGGAAATGTGAAGATGTGTGTAAAGTTTCCTAGCATCACTGCAAATTATTTCTATTTAAAGTGATAGTGGGATCACATGTGAAAACAAAACTACTTTGTTTAAAAATTAAATAGGATGAGCCTCTAATTGTAATTCTTTCCTCTAAAATGTTATGCTTTGCAAATTCTAGCTGCCCCGGCCACCCTACACTCTGAAATCTATCTTCTCTACTCAGTGAGATGCTGCACTGAAGCATGGATATTTGTTGCAGGCAGAAAACTGACACAATAATAAAATTTACCTGGTTATTCTTTTCTCAGCAGTCCTTAACCTGCATGCCTATTTCTTTTATTCTGAAAAATACACACATATACATGTATATATATTTCTTGTTTTATAGTTATATTTGGCAAAAAGTAACTACAGTACCTGTTCCTCCATCACATCCTCCATCATTTCACATATTTTTTCCTAGATGTGAAAAAATAGTAATCAGTATAAGCAAGCTAATTCCTGCAGATATTAATCAGACATTTAATTATTGTGACAAAAATGGAAACTTTTCTATAGTGCAGGATTAAAAAAAGATATAATACCTCTGATAATGTATTAAATAAGGCCTGATATGTTTGTGTATTCCTCACACATATCCATTTATAGAATTTTTCACTCTATGTTTAAATTTGTCACTTTAGTGCCTGTCTCTTCTACTATGATATTTGCCTTAGTCCATTTAGAATGCTCTAGCAAAATATCATAAACTGAATAGCTTATAAACAACATGAATTTATTTCTTACAGTTCTGGGAAGTTCAGGATCAAAGTGTGGGCAGATTTAGTGTCTGGTAAAGTCCTGGTTCATAGATGGCACCTTCTAGATGTGGCTTCACATGATAGAAGGGTCAAGGCAGCTCTCTGAGCCCCTTTTATGAGGGCACCAGTCCCATTCATGAGAATTCTGCAGTCATTACCTAATCACCTTTGAAAAGGCCCCACTTCATAATACCATCACCTTGGGGGTTGGAATTTTAACATATGAATTTGGAGAGATAAAGTCTTTTGTACAATAATAATAGTAATTATGTTTATTCTCATCTTCTGGTATAGGGCTTTACAATGGTATGCTGTAAGAGAATAAATAACAGATAACTAATAGGGTAATTATAGTTATACTCTTTTATAAAGAATAATTCATGGCAAGAACAAGGCAAAACAGAACCATAAGCAAAGTCAAAAGACAATTCATAGTAAAAATATATTCCCAGCATAAAACAAAGGCTTTCAGATATTTAAAGGATAAAGACCAAAAACATAGAAAATGGGAAAAAAGATTGACAAAATAGTCATAGACAGATAAACACAAATGACTCTTTACAAATAAAAAGACATTCAACTCTACATATTAGGAGAAAAAGTCAAAATAAAAGTATAATTTCTCTGAGTGGCAGAAACCTCAAGTGTGGCAACACGTCTCATACATCATTGATGAAAATGCAAAATGGCACAGCCCCTCTGGAAGGCAACATAGTGACATCTGGGAAAATCATATATGCATCTGTTTTTTAGTACAGCAATCCCACTTCTAGAAATCTATCTTCATGACACACTTCCAAAATGGCATATGAACAAAGTTGTTTGCTCTGGCACTATTTGTAATAACAATGTTACAAGCAATCAAAATGGTCATCCATAAAGGACTGAATAAATAAATAAATAAATACATCCAACAATCTATAGTCACAAAACAGAGTGCTAGGCTATTGTAAAACTATATGAGCAAGGGCTTTATCTAATGATATGAAGTGATCCACAAAATGTATTTTTAAGTGAAGAAAGCAACACGTAAAGCAGAATATATGCTGCTTGTTGATTTAAAAAGTGGAGAAAGCAAACACACTCGTAACCCATAAATATATTTTGCAGATAATTATATCTGCAAAAAGCTAATGAAAAACCAGCAAAAACTACTAAAAATATTTAATACTTGAAGGACAGGGAGGCACAAAATGGAAAGAACAGGGGTGAAAGGAATTCATATTAATATACAGGTAATATAATTTTTATATTTGAGTTATGTAAATTTTTGTATAATCAGAATGCAAAACAGAAAGTAAAACAAGCTTAAAATAAAATAAAACAAATATAGCTAATTACATGTCATTTTGGTGACATAACCTCACAGAAGAAAAAAATAATCTAATTGTTTATATATAGTCAAGCCACATATCTAATCTAAGGACAAAATATATGCAAAGAAATATTAACTTTATCCCGTTGTATTATTCTTACCTTGCAGATACTTCCATTATAATTTTCCATATTGTAGGATAGAGAATATAATTATTCATGCTAATTTTGTGTAGGAAATAAGCTTTTCACAAAAGAATAGAAATCTTATATGTGAATTGAATACAGCACTGCAATTTGTTTTTATATTTTTATATTCTAATGTATGTTTTAACATCATCCATTAAAAGGATTTAAGAACAATAGCAACTCAATAGCAATAAAGACCTCTAGCAGATTTTGTTTATTAAACAGTCATTGCTTCTTTAGAGAAATAGATCTTTTTGATGTTGGACAGAAAATTTGTGAGATAAGTTTGGGGCATATTATTAAATATGAAGGATGGTAGTGTTATGGACTGAGTGTTTGTATCCCCCAGAAATTCACAGGGTGAACACCTACACCTGAATGTGATGGTATTAGGATGTAGGGCCTTTGGTAGGTAATTAGGTCATGAGTGTGGAGCACTCAAGAATGATTAGTAGTGGTTGAGGGTGGATGACAGGTCTACTGTACTATTTTATTTGTTTTGTGTATGTTCAAACTTTTCTGTAATAAAACACTTGAAGAAAAAGACAAAATTGATCTACTATGTTAGTTCTTAAGATCATAGTTACCTTTGTGAAGGAAAGAGGAAGAAAGTGATTATCGAGGGCATGTGTGAGGCTGGTTTTATTTCTTCATTACAAAAGTGTATTAGCTTTGTAATAATTCATTGAGCATTACATGAATGCTTTGTACATGCATTTCTATTTTTTAATTAATTTTTTATGGTTACATAGTAGGTATATATTTATGAGGTACATGAGATATTTTGATACAGGCATACAAAATGTAATAATCACACGAGGGTAAATGGGTATTCATTACCTCAAGCATTTATCATTTCTTTGTGTTATGAACACTCCAATTGTACTCCTTTGGTTATTTTACAAGAAATCATTGCTGACTGTAGTCACTCTGTTGTGCTATCAAATACTAGATCTCATTAATTGTGTCTCCATTTTTGTACCCATTAACCATCACCATCACCCATCACCACCTTGCCACTGCCCTTCCCAACCTCTGGTAAACATCATTCTACTTTCTATCTCTGTGAGTTCAGCTGTTTTAATTTTTAGCTCCTACAAATGAGTGAGAACATGTGTAGTTTGTCTTTCTGTGCCTGGCTTATTTCACTTAACCTGTGTCCTCTGATTTCATCCATGTTGTTGCAAATGACAAGATTTCATTCTTTTTTATGACTGAATAGTACTCCATTATGTACATATATCACATTTTCTTTATCCATTTGTCTGTCGATGGACACTTAAGTTGATTCCAAATCTTGGCTATTGTTAGTAGTGCTACAGTAAACATGGGAGTGCAGATATCTCTTCAATATGGTAATTTACTTTCTTTTATATATACACTTTGTAGTCAGATTGTTAGATCATATGGTTGCTTTATATTTAGTTTTTTAAGGAATCTCCATACTATTCTCCACTGTTGCTGTACTAATTAACATTCCCACCAACAGTGTGTGAGAGTTCCCCCTTTCCCCACAACTTCGCCAGCATTAACTATTTGTGCATGTATTTCTGTATGCATGTTATATGTCAGTAAAAAAATTAAATACTAAAAATAATCACAAGAGAGATAACTTATCTCTTGGCCACATGAGGATGCAGAAAGGAGAAGGCTATCTGCAAACAAGGAAATAGGCCATTACTAGAACTGAAAATACTAGCACCATGATTTTGGACTTCCCATTCCCTAGAATTGTAAAAACTAAATGTTGGTTCTTGAAGTCATCCAGTTTATGGTCATTTGTTATAGTAGCCAACACAGACTAAGACAGGAGGTTACAAACAGATTAGATTATTAAGTCCATTCAGAAGGTCCAAGAGCCAGTATGAAGATGCTCTCACTGTTCGACATTAAAACCATTTGTGCTTCCAAAAGAATGATGATTACAATGGATTGAAAACCCCAAGTACACAAAAGTGAAGTGTGTGTGTGTGTGTGTGTGCAATCAGTCACATAGAAATAATACAACACTCTGTAGAGAATACTAGAATTTGCCAGGATATCAACTGATTATGCTGAAAATTGATAGTTAAATGAGAAAAATTAAGAATTTATTCTCTACTTTCTGTATGGACTACATTTTAGGCTTACCAAAGCCTACTGAATGAAGTAGGGGGTGGCGAAAACAGAATAATTTCAACTAATAAATGCGAAAAGATTGAACAAATTAAAAAGCCAAAATTTGTCTAAAGTACTGATTTAGATAGTCATGTGAATTACAATACTTGTTTCTCTGAAGGTCAAACCCAACTTTACAAACTATTAGCTAGCAGTAATTTAAAATCAGTTTGTCTCATTGTATAGGAGTAAGATAAAACAGTAAAGATAGAAAGCAAGAAAGAGTCTAATTGCTTTCCATTCAAAGGGGTTTAATATTTTTTGAATCTAAAATTAAATTCCTTTGCTTGTGAAAAGAAGTTCTAGCTCAGCTAGAAGACTGCTATGAAACATTAAACACTGTCAGTTCTTACTGTGATACTGCATTAATACTGCATAACATCAATATTTTATATTAAGAATGTTAATTATCCCTGAGTTTCTGGAATGCCTAACAGTGCTAAAGTACTAGCGCACTAATTTTATTTTTAATTCATTTTCTTTTTTCTATTGGCTGTTCTCCCTGGATTAAATTCTTCTCCCTGCAGTGAGAAATGAGTTAAATCAGCTCTCACTGTCAACTGGAACAGCCTTGGAGCTGAGTTAATTCATCACTTACTGACAAAAGGTTAAAAATATTGAATATCAATATCCAGAATGTTTTCCAACTCACAGCAATTGTTTGGCAGTGCTGATGTCTAAGCTCTGGGAATAAAGTGCAAGGTTTTAGCATTCTCTGTGTGCATAAAGTTACTTTCTTAATGTGCTTTATGTATGAATATAGTAGAAGTTTTTAACCTTAATTTTTCTTTCAATATAGTTGACACCAGAGATATAGAAATTTGATACCAAAGATAATACAATATTGAAATGTGTACCTCTACTTTCATAATTAAAGCAAACTTTCACAACTGACTTGTTGAATTACCAGCTGGATCTATAATGCATAGATTCATGCTTATTCATGCTTATCTAATTACACATTCAGACTCTAGCTATCTACAAAGACTAAACAATAGCACTGTTATTTTTTGAGTGAGCTTTATTCAATATGTGCAAACGGAGACAGGAGAAGTAATACAGATGGCCGTTGAGTTTCAACGATTTGACTGATAATTTTTCGACTCTATAATTGTTCAAAATCATTGCAACACTAATGTAAGTATTCAATAAAGCTACATAAAATATTCACAGCATTTTGTTTTAAAATAGGCTTTATGTTAGAGGATTCTGCCTGGCTGTAGGCTAATGTAAGTATTCTGAGCATATTTAAAGTAGGCTAGACTAAGCCATAAAGTTTGGTTGATTAGATATATTAAATGCATTTTTTACTTAATGATATTTTTACCTTACTGTGGGTTTGTCAGAACATAGCCCCATCATAAGTTGAGTGGCATCTCTATGTGAAATTCTCCTTTTGAACTCAGAGGGTCAGTATTCTCACAGTTGAGCATAGGATGTATTTATGTGCATGTTGAGCTCATAGACACACACTGATGCATTATAGAGCATACGTGTCATAAAAAGTTGTTAGAAAAATACGGTAGCTTGGAAGAGAGAATATTTTAAACAGGGTTTGTGTTCACAGAAGTGGTTTTGTTGAGACTTAAAAATTATATAAAGTTACAAACTGGGCTTAAAAAATAAATAAAACTCTGGTGAGCAGGCGTAGTGGCCATCTCATACAACTCATGCATTCCAAGGCAGAGGAGATAGAGTAAAAAAAAAAGAGGTGTCCAGAAGAATAGTTTAAAATATTAAATTTCCAATTTGACTTTTCAAATATAATGTGCCTGAATGGAGAGACAGCAGCACTCTTGATAAAGAAATGTTAATGATAATAAGAGTAACCGTACTCATTAAGTCTACAGAAAGTGAGAAACATAGACTCATTTGGGGATGTTTTAAAACAAAGCCAGAGACCTTTAAGAATACACACCTTGCATGCATTGGAAGGATGTACTGGTGGAGCAGACTGTAGGTGAGGAGAACAAGAGGAAGAAATACAGCATTCTGTTGATGTGTGATGGGCTTTAGTTCTAGTGCCCTATCATGGCAAATTCACAATAGGAAACAGGTAATACAGACTTGCAAACAAAATCAAATCGGAGTTGGGAGCTAGGGTGAGGAAGGAGTAAGATATGATTTCAGGATTTTAATAATTGGTAGTATATAAATGATGATACTTGGAACTGGGATGTAAAGAGAGAGAAAAACACATATATGAGAATATATGTACATACAAACACAAACACATACATACACATACAAGCCATTGTCATCTGTAAAGGACTACGTGTTTATGGGCTTAATGTTGAGTTAACAGTCCCTGAAGAGCATTTGAATGGTGATTTATAAAGTTTTGAGGTTAACTTTAGAGGATTTGTGCTAGAGGATTAGATTGGAAGCATCAACATGAAAAAAAATAATTAGAGATTATTTTGCTTGTTTAAAGTTGGAATCTTAATCAAAATGGGAATGAATTTTAATCTTTATTTTATGAGTGATTGTTCTGAAGACTATTGAAATTTAGATAGAAAATATGTTACTTATTTACCTTATTCTTCTTGTTGTATACAAAGATCTACCACTCTTGCTTTATTATGTGTTGGGATGAGCTACTGTTGACTTTATGACCAGAAGATTTCTGATATAAGGGGTACTTGTAACATCAGAGTTTTTATCCAGAGATCTCTAGTTATCATATTCTGAAGACAACCACAATCATGCAAATTATGTTTGGCATTGTAGGGACCATTTAATAATTACTTATTAATGCTTTATGAACATTTATACAGCATTAAAAATTAAAATCCAAGTTAAGTCAAAATAAATATATGTATCTATTCAAGTGAGAATAAATATTTAGGTTTTTTTCAAAATTTGTAGTATGATGCTTCTTTGTGCATGTGTGCCAGTGTTTCTAGGTTATATTCTTGTGAGTGTAACTTATATGTTATGCATATTATTAACTTTATTAAAAATGTTAGATTGCTCCTGAATTTGTAAGTCAGGCATATGATGTACATATGTTTCGTATTCTTCCATATTTTTTCTAATTGAACCTGCATGATTTATTAAATATTCCAAAATTCAACCATTTTATTTTAATGCCATCCCTGCAATATACCAAGTTACCATACATTTCAGGACCTTTACCTTGTACTTCATAGTTCTCTCAGTATATCAAGTTATTAGTATTTTTATAGATTAAAAACAATTTATAGAGATTCCTAAAAATACTATAAGGATGTAATTTGAATTGCATTTCATATATTGGTTAAATTGCAAATACTTGCATTTTTTGATGGACTATTTGTCACCCATGAATATAGCATATTTTCCCACTTATTTAGGTATTCTGTGTTCAGACAATGTCATTTATATCATAATAAATTTTTAGCATTTATTGTGTTTTGTTTCATGGTCAGATATTTGGTCAATTTTTGTAAAAATTTCATGTAAACATAAAAAGAATGTATATTCTCTAATTGTGGTATGCAAATTCCATTAAATGAAATTTTAGAGTCATAGTTTTGAAACCTCATTTTTACATTTTTTCATGCTCTGTAAATGACTGCCAAATTAAACTAAGCTCTTATTTTATTGTGTGTTTTTCAGTTTCTCATTATTATATAATTTTATACAATGAAGTTTTTAAAGCTATTCTAACTAGTGCACAAAAAAATTCAAAATTTGTATTTGTAATGAGTGGGGGAGTGGATGAAAATTAGTCTATTGTATAACATGGATGAGTCCAGCAGCTTTCTCTTTGTTCACATTTGTCACGTATATCTTTATCCATCTTTCTACTTTGAAACTGTTCTTACAACACAGAATGCAGCTATGACTTTTCTGGGAGTACATAACTAGAACCATTTTTTCAGTCTTTACACCAGTTTTTTTTTTCTTCCTTCATTCTTATTTACTTTTTCACATTGCACTTTCCACTAAACAAAAAATGCATGTTTTACTTAATTTTCTTTTATTTTTTCCTCCACTAGCTTGTAAAAGAGTTTCATAAAGCAAGTTATTTGTTTGTTTTGTTTTCTACTGTATCTCTAGCTGCCTAGCACAGTGGCTGTGTTAAATAAGTTAAAATTTAATTACATATACATTCTATTTAATTCACTTGCTAATGGCAAGTTGAGTCAACATTTTTGTGATAATTCAAATATCTGTATTTCTACAATCTTATTTTGATATTTCAATTTTACTTTCTAGTCCTAGGCACCTTTTTTTTTTTTTTTTTTTTTGCTTTGTGCACTTCTGTTGGAAAGATTGAATTTCCTTTATTCTCCTATTTCCCTTTCTATATTATATCTATCTACCCTTTTCAGATGTATCTTTTGATTGTATCTTTAAAAATTTAACAGACATGCTTGACTTAATATTGCCTAAGTTTATCATTGCTTATCTCAAACAATACATAAGATTCTGAACGTATCTTTCTCATTTTATATTTTCTTGTTTAGCATTTTAATACCAACTTGTTTTTACACTTCAGCTTAACATTATTGTATTTTAATATATTTTTATTTACCTATTTATTTCTTGATTCACACTTTTAATCATCTCATTTAATTCAAGTTAATTCATTAATCCTTTAGTAGTAATTTTAATAAGAATAATGTAATAATAAGCTCCTTTTTGGAGGGACAGAGATGGAGCAATGTGTTCTGAAAAATTGAAAAATGCTAGCTCTATTTTTTAATTCTTTTTGATTTCAAAAAACTTTTATGATTTTGTTTACTTTCTTATAATTTTGCTTATGCTTTCAAGAAAATGTTTGTGAAATTTTCTCCATGTTCGTATGCATGTGTGTGTGTTTTGTGAAACAGTTTTCTTTTCTCCTCTGTCCTTGAAGTGCATGTGCAAAGAGTCTAGAAAGTATGATCATTCCGTATGCCAATTCACGGTGGGAATTTTAGTCAATTAAATTAAAACTTTGAAGAGCATCTTAAATAAATTGGCCAAATTAAGAAATTAGTAACCCAGAAAGAATTTTATATCTCCGATGACAGGACATAAGCATTACTGGAAAAGAGGATTTGTAGATGTATTACATGTAAATGTTTTTCTGGATACTTGTTTAGCATCCCGAAAGAATATATGGTGATCAGTATATTTTTCTGAGGAAATCATTCCCTTTCCCCTTCCCTATAATCACATGATGAGCTCAAAGAGCAATGGAGGGCTTGGACAGCTTCCTTCCTATGCGTACTTTTGCTTTACTCTGGGAATCTGTTTTGAAGCAATGAGTACAACAGTAATGACTATCATAGTCATCTGTAGGATATTGATTGAGTGTCATTAATACTGTTATTACACAGTGCAAAAAGTTAAAATGTGGTACTTCTATTTATTTATTTAACTTTTTCTCAAACCTGTGCATTTATCTCAACAACTCTTCGATTTTTTTTTCTGGTTTGGGAAGAAAAATTGTGATAAATGAAAAAAAGCAATGCAGAAAATAAGACTTCTCATAATAAGGTTAAATTGTTGTGAAAACAAATGTCAGAATTGTCAGTATTTGAGAATTAAATATGTTCTGTCCACCAAGGTCCAGGAATCAAAGAAAAGTGGCCTCTGAGTATTAAACAACAACTACAACATCTGACTGATCATAACAGACACTTACAAAATGAACTTTTAAGCTGGTTACATTTGACTGTAACTTTAATAAATGTATGGGCAATATTTCTAAGAAATAATTCATCAATGAAGAACAGTATTATTACCATTAAAGGATAAACTATCCCTTTATTTGTGTTGCATAAAAACCCTGTGCAAAAAAGGAAGTCTTAGAACTTTGTATTTCAATACTGTAGCAACTAATCATATGTTCCTATTAAAATTTAATTTTAAGTTAATTCAAATTTACTTAAATTAAAAATTTAATTAGCTACACTACCCAGATTCTGAATGCTCAACAACCACCAGTCCTTAGTGGTTACAATACTAGACAGAACAGAGAACACTTCTGTCATCACAGAAACTTCTGTTGCATAATGCTAATTTAGACAATAGATTTCAAGTATTTAGATATCATTGTGGTAATGCTATACTAAATTGTAGCTAATCAACTTGAAGTATGCTAATCACATTTCTAGAATTACTGTCATTGTGAGATAAATTTATAAACCTGTCCTAGCATGATGTCATTACCTATTTAAACATGACTACTCTTGTTTAAACCATGCCACTAAACAATCCTCACCTTTTATTTATCTTCCCATGGTTCAGTTGTGTCTATCAGGATAGAATGGTCTATCTGTGCATACTCAATTATACCATTTCTTAGAACATTTTTCATTAAAAATTAATAAATTGATGATCTTATTTTATTTGATTTTACAGGTAACTTTATAGGGAAATAATATGTTGGTCATGTCAATACATATATTTCTCCCAAAGCATCAATTCTATTGTTTATTGTAAATTAATACATTGCCCTTCTCCACTTGCTTACTTTGCTCCAGATGGCTTTCTTTCTTTCATTCTTTATTTTTAAAGCTTTCTTCATTAAGGCATAAATTTACGTATGACAAACATCAAACACTGTCAGTATATAATGATGCTTTGGTAAATCCATAGAGTCCTGTGATCATTACCACAATGCAGCTTCCAAAAATTTATTTTACCTCCAAAATTACTTTGTGTTATTATGTACACAAGTCCTATACCCCTCATCCTAGGCAACTGCTAATCGGGTTTCTGCGTCTATATGTTTGCCCTTTATATATATTTTATATGAACACAATTATATAATATGTGGTCTTTGGAGTCTAGATTCATTCGCCCAGCATGATATTTTTGAGGCTCACCTGTGATGTAGCATGTATTCATAGTTCATTTTTTTTCATTGCTGAATAAATTCCATTGTGTGCATGTGTCCCATTTGGATGATTCTACATTTAGGGTTTTTCAAGGTTAAGTTATTGTGAATAAAAATGCCATAAAACCTACATGTTTGCATTTCTGTGTATTTCTTTCACTTATCTAGGATTGATTTCTAGGAGACAGGTTGCTGGGTCATAAGGTAAGTTTATGTTTTCCAAAGTGAATTTACCATTTTCATTCACCAGTAATATATAAGAATTCCAGTTTCTCCACATTCTTACCAGAACTTGATATTGTGTCTGTATTATTATAGCCATTCCACTGTGTACAGGTGTATTTACAAATTTATTACACACATATTTATTGTTTTTATCATAATCGATTTGTTATATGGTTTGCTAATATTTTCTCCCAGTCTTTTTCTTTTCTTCATGGTATCTCTGAATTACAAAGTTTTTAATGTTGATTTTAAACTTTTATGGGTACTTAATACTTCCACATATTAATTGGGTACATGTGATATTTTGATACATGATACAATGTGTAATGATCAAATCAGGTAATTAATCAAATATTTATCACTTATTTGTGTTGGCAATATTCCAAATCTACTCATCTATTTATTTTGAAATATAGAATAAATTATTGTTAACTATAGTCACCCTATTGTGCTACTGAACACTGGATCTTATTCATACTCTCTAACTAACTATACTTTTGTACCCATTAATCAGCCCCCCTGTATCCCCTTCTCCACACTACTCTTCCCAGCTTCTGGTAAACATTATTACACTTTCTATATCCATGAGCTTCCACATATGAGCAAGAACATGCAATATTTGTCTTTCTGTGTCTGGCTTATCTCACTTAATATAATGTCCTCCAGTTCCAGCCACATTATTCCAAATGACATAATTTTATTCATTTTATGGATGAATACTATTTCCTTGTACATATGTACCACATTTTCATTATCCATTCTTCCGTTGATATCTTGGCTATTGTGAATAGTGATGTAATAAACACAGGAGTGGAGATATCTCTCCAACATACTGATTTTCTTTCTTTTGGATATATTGCTGTGACATTTGCTGCTGCTTCTGGATTTTTGGTTTGTGTGCTGTTTCTTTACTTAGGACCTAGTGTAGTTCTGTGAAATACGTCTCCCTGCATTGTGTGGCAGCTGATGTTCCTTCTTACTGTTTGTGGGGTTTTCTTGATAGTATTTTTAAACTGGGCTTCCTAGGGTTCACTCCTCTATATGCGTAGCTTAGTGGTCAGTGATTGGAGAGAAGTTATTCTCAAATGCCTTGATCCAGCAAGAAATCCCTCAGCTGAAAATGGATCTCTGTGGGTAATAAGTGCCTTCGGGGTTTTCATGGTTGCCCTGGAGTGTACTTTTCAGTGGGCTCTATTTTGCCCTTCCTCAGTGTGCAAAAGCACAGCTTCAGGGTTTTCCAGGAGTGTGGGGTTAACTTAGGCCTTCTCTGTCTTCTCTAAACAGGAGAGCAAACTCAACGAAGAATATGTTTGCTGCAACCAAGACAGAAACCTCAGGCTAGTAAAGCTGTTGGCTCTCCTTACTTATCTGAGATCATCATTGCAATCAAGGATGAAGCTGCATCACCCAATGCTTGAAAATAAGTGAGCTTCCTTAGACTATGGCAGGGAGGCTGCCATCCCTCATGGACTGTCTCACCATAGTAGAAGCTCCATGCCTACCCAACTGGGGTAGGGAGGTGGTGATAGGAATAGGCCTGCGGGGGAAGGCATAGATTCTTTGTGTTCTGACTCCACATTTGACAGCTTTTCAAGAATGCATAGTTCTCTGATTATTATACACCTTTGGGCCATTTTGAGAACACTGAAATATTTGTGGGGTTATTTTGTTGTTTCTCAATTTTGCCCAGCTTAATAGTTACTTTGGTAGAAAAATTTTCTGATCGTCTTACTTAGCTAAAGCCACAATAACATTATTGTTCCTCCTAAAATACGTCAAGTATGCTCTTGCCTGCATTTTAGCCCTCTACCTGGATACAGGCATGTATGAGTACTTGGCTTATTCCACAACTTAATTCAGTATAGCCATACTGTGAAGCCATCTCACCCTATAAACATACCCTCTGCTCTGTATCAACTTTCCCTTGCTTTATACAGTGCTTCTTCCTACTTATCACTAGATACGTGTTTATACTATATATGTACTCCTCCTTCTACATGAGTACATATTTATATTATATATATACTCCTGCCTGTACATGAGTACATATTTATTGCTGTATTTCCAAAATGTATATATATTATCTAGCTCATTAGATATTGTACTCAATAGGTATTAAATTAATTAATGAGTTAATTATTGCATAAATAACATTAAAAGGCAGAGAATAAAGCACATGTTGCCAGAGCATTTGTCCTTTTTTGAGTGAGTACTGAAAAATACTAACGGGAAGAAATGGTGTTTTCTAAGCGTGAGCACCATCGCTCTCCTTTCCATTTCCTAGAAATGTCTTAAGAATACATCATAAATACTCTCTGAAGAAGCCTTTTTATATTTTCTATAACCTAAGATAAGTTGAGATAATTTCTTCAAGCAATCTTGATTTCTGAGATATGGGTAAGGATCTCAAATTCAAAGTCATTCCATTGACTAGCATTTACAAAGAGGAAAGAGAAGAATCATTATCTTTCACACTTACAGAAGTATATAGTAAACAATTGCTGTACTAATACAAGAAATATTTATTTAATAATCCAAAGTTTTTACTTATATTAACTCTTAAAAATCAAATGCTGGTGTTGTTCAATAGCTAGTATCAGGGTATGTTATCAAGTGGGGAAATATCAAGGAAACAAGAGAAGCAAATGGGCAGGCAAGAAACTGAAGAAGAACATAAATGTAAGTGTACCAAATAGTGAAGTTGCTATGTCAAATATATTAAGGATTGGAGGCAAGGAGGAGGCAAAATACTGTAGGTGTTTGAAAGATTTTCTTATTGGGGTTGATGAAATAAATGTGCCTTCACTTCTCTGTGTCTTTAGTTTCAAGTAAATTCTTATCTAATATCTTTTTATTTTAATTTTAAATTTTTGTGGGTACATAATAGGTATAGATATTTATGGAATGTATGAGATATTTGGGTACAGGTATGCAATACATAATAATCACATCATGGAAAATTGGATATTCATCCCCTCAAGCATTTATTCTTTGTGTTACAAACAATTCAATTGGACTATTTTATTTATTTTTAAATGTATTTTAACTGATTGTTGACTACAGTGGCCCGTTGTGCTATCAAATATTAGGTTTTTTCCTTTCTTTCTATTTTTTGTACCCATTAACCATCCCCACCTCCCACCCACTCCCCCATTACCCTTGCCAGTCTCTGGTAACCATCCTTCTATTATCTATTTCCATTAGTTTAATTGTTGCTATTTTTTGATGTCACAAACAAGTGAAAACATACAATGTTTTTCTTTCTGTGTCTGACTTATTTCAATGTCCTCCCATTCCATCTATGTTGTTGCAAATGATAGAATCACTTTCTTTTCTTCTGGCTGAATAGTACTCTATTGTGTATCAGTACTACATTTTCTTTATCCATTCATCTGTTGATGGACACTTAGTTTGCTTCCAAATCTTGGCTATTGTGAGCAGTGCCGCAGCAAATATAGGAGTGCAGGTATCCTAGAAATGTTTTAAGATTACCTTTGATATACTGATTTCTTTTCTTTTGGGAATATACCCAGTAATGAGATTGCTGGATCATATAGTAGTTCTATTTTTAGTAACCTCCAAACTGTCTTACATAGTGGTTATACTAATTTACATTCCCACTAACAGTGTACAAGCATTCACTTTAATCCACATCCTTGCCAGCATTTGTTATTGCCTCACTTTTGGGTTAAAGCCATTTTAAACGGGGTGAGATGATATATCATTTTAGTTTTAATTTGCATTTCTCTGATCGTCAATAATATTAAGCACCTTTTCATATGCCTGCTTTTTTTCCATTTGTATGTCTTATTTTGAGAAAGGTTTATTCAAATATTTTGCCCATTTTTAAATCAGATTATTAAATTTTTCCCTATAGAGTGTTTGCCCTCCTTACATATTCTGGTTATTAATCATTTCAGATGGGTAGTTCACAAATATTTTCTCCCATTCTATGGGTTGCCTCTTCACTTTGTTGATTATTCCCTTTGCCATGCAGAAGCTTCTTAACTTGATATAATGCCATTTGTCAATTTATCCATTTTTGCTTCGGTTGCCTGTGCTTTTGGGGTATCACTCAAGAACGTTTTGCCAAGGCAATATCCTGGAGAGTCTCCTCAATGTTTTCTTGTAGTAGTTTCATAGTTTGAGGTCTTAGATTTAAGTCTTTATGTATTTTGATTTGATTGTTGTATATTGTAAGATACAGGGTACAGAAGAAATGGTCTAATTTCATTCTTCTGCATATGGGTATCAGTTTCCCAGCACCATTTATTAAAGAGACTGTCTTTTTCCCAATGTATGTTCTTGGCACTTTGTCAAAATTGAGTTCACTGTACATGTGTGACTTTGTTCCTGAGTTCTCTGCTCTGTTCCACTGATCTATGTGTCTGTTTTTATGCCAATACCATGCTGATTTGGTTATTGCAGCTCTGTAGTATATTTTGAAGTCAGGTAATGGATTTCCTCCAGTTTTGTTGCTCATGATAGCTTTGGCTATTCTGGGCCTTTTATGGTTCCATATAAATGTTGGTATTTTTTTTCTATTTCTGTGAAAAAATGTGATTGGTATTTTGATAGGAATTGCATTGAATCTGTAGATTGCTTTGGGTAGTAAGAACATTTTAACAATATTGATTCTTCCAATCCATTAACATGGACTATCTTTCAATTTTTGGGGCATTCTTCAATTTTTTTTCATTAGTGTTTATAGTTTTCACTGCACAGGTCTTTTGATTGTTTGGTTAAGTTTATTCCTAGGTATTTAATTTTATGTTTGGCTATTGCAAATAGGATTACATATTAAAATTTCTATTTCAAATGGTTCACTATTGGGATATATAAATGCTACTGATTTTTGTATGTTGGTCTTGAATCCTGCAACTTTACTAAATTTGTATATCAGTCCTAATAGTTTTTCTGGTGGAGTCTTTAGGTTTCAACATATATCAGATCATACCATCTGCAAACAATGATAATGTTATTTCTTCCTTTCCAATTCACATGACCTTTATTTCCTTCTCTTGTCTGCTCTAGCTAGGGCTTCCAGTACTTTGTTGAATAACAGTAGTGAAAGTGGGCATCCTTGTCATGTTCCAGATCTAAGAGGAAAGGCTTTTAGTTTTTCACCATTCAGAATGATACTAACTATGGGTCTGTCATATATGGCTATGGCTTTTATTATGTTGAAATATGCTCCTTCTATGCCCAGTTTTTTGGGAGATTTTATCATGCAGCGAGATTGAATTTTATTAAATGCTTTTTCAGCATCAATTGAAATGATCCTATAGTGTTTGTTTTTTCTTCTGTTGATATGATGTATCATATTGACTGATTTGCATATGTTGAACCACTCTTGCATTTCTGGGTTAAATCTCACTTCATCATGATGAATGATCTTTTAATGCATTGTTGAATTTGGTTTGCTAGTATCTTGTGGAGGATTTCTGCATTAACATTCATCAGAGATATTTATCTGTAATTTTATTTTTTTGATGTGTCTTTGGTTTTGGTATCAAGGTAATACTGGCTTTGTAGAATGAGTTTGGAAGTATTTCTTTCTTCTCTACGTTTTGGAACAGTTTGAGTAGGATTTCTATTCTTTTTTAAATGTTTGGTAGAGTTTAGCAGTGAAGACATAAGGTCCTGGGTTTTTCTTTACAGGGATAGTTTTTATTATGGGATCTTGTTACCTGTTATTGGTGTGTTCAGGTTCCGGATTTCTTCATGGTTCATTCTTGGTAGGTTGTAGGTGTCTAGAAATGTATCCATTTCTTCTTCATTTTCCAATTTATTGGCATATAGTTGTTTATAGCAGCCATTAATGATCCTTTGAATTTCTGCTGTAACAGCTGTAATGTCTACTTTTTCATCTTTGATTTTATTTATTTGGGTCACTCTCTTCCTCTCTTATTTAGTATGCCTAAAGGTTTATGAATTTTCTTAATTTAATTATAGAAAGTTTTATTGCAATAGTTTTTTTTAACTGTATACTATTATGTAGAAATCGTAAACATTTATATAATAAACATGCTTTGTAGAAACTGTAAAAGTTGTTATAGGCCGGGCGCGGTGGCTCACGCCTGTAATCCCAGCACTTTGGGAGGCCAAGGCGGGCGAATCACGAGGTCAGGAGATGGAGACCATCCTGGCCAACACGGTGAAACCCCGTCTCTACTAAAAATACAAAAAAATTAGCCAGGTGTGGTGGTGGGTGCCTGTAGTCCCAGCTACTTGGGAGGCTGAGGCAGGAGAATGGCGTGAACCCGGGAGGTGGAGATTGCAGTGAGCCGAGATTGCACCACTGTACTCCAGCCTGGGCAACAGAGTGAGACTCCGTCTTTAAAAAAAAACAAAAAAAAACAAAAAAAAACTGGGTACTGTGCTCACCCGATTTTTTATTCTTGCTGGCAATGCTTTTCTTTGTACAGATAGTTGTTAAAATGCAGTATTCCAGTGGGTGCTGGGGGGAGGAACACAAAGAATATAAGCTTTTATTCTACCATTTTGCTCCACACTTTTTCTATATTTTAAATTGACTATTTAGTAACAAAATAAAAAGTAGTCAGTCAATTAATCAGCAATTCAGAGGAAAACAATAGTGTAAAGTGAGATTTTCTATTTTTTTTTTTCAGTTAAAAGAAGCTAGTCCTACGAACTCTATAGGACAAAATGCAAAACACATTTAGTTTTTAAATTAATTCTCTGAATTGGAAAACTGTCTATGTATTTATAGTGTTTCTTGAAGCAGGAAGTTTCATAACATGTAGAAAACTAAGCTGTTGGGTTGTTTTAAATAAGTAGCTATGCTGGACATTTTAATAGTGCTTTGGTAATTTTTTTTCTTTTTCTATAGGATACTCCTGAGCTCACTGAATAAGCCTGAAGCCAAATAATTTTCTTCCAAGTAATATAAAACAAATTATAAACACATAAAAGATAGTATAAAAGGAGCCATAGTACATCTTTTTTTCCAATTTCTTGTTGCATTTGAAAATATATCAAAACTCATTTTGATAAATAGTTAACAATTTTATTCAATTATATCAGATGTGATGAGCAGTATTTTAGAAGGAAAATAGGTGAAAATGTACTATATACATTCAGCCAAATACAAAGAGACAAAATGTAGTTATTATTTAATTCTGAATCCTAATAATATGAAAAATCCACTTATTTAGATATATTTGTATCATTATATAATGTAGATAAAGACCTCACAAATAAAAATGTTTCAGCCTATATGAGAATGTTTTGCATCTTCAGTTTAAATTCTATGTCAAATGAACACTTCTTTACCATACTAGTGGTTGTTCACCATCAAACATAAACGTAAAATTACTTAGAGGGACTACTCTTTACACTAAGTAGAATATAAAGCAAGAAAGAGAACTGTTTTTCACCAAACATTTTACGGATGTTTGGAAAGGTAAAGTGTTTATAGAGAACTATGTAAAGCAGTGCAACCTTACATTTTTCATAGGCTAGTCACTCAAAACACAATACAGGTAAAAAATACAATTATCTGACTCCCTGTGCACTATTTTTGTGCATTTTCTCTTAGCAATTTCATCACTTTAAGCTTGTAGCCACAAAGCAAACCATTTGCTTGTATAATTTCTCTCTTGTTTCGATACAAAATAACACCATTTCAAGTTTATGGGGATCCAGGGATTAGGAACATAATGCTACAGTCTCATTTAACCAATATAACGTTTCAGAATTCTGTCCTCAAATCCCCTGCACATTTATCATAAAAAAATACATACAGAGCCTATTTTTTATATGAAAGTACATTCTGCCTATAAAGAAATTTCTATTTTACTGAAGCATTCTAAATAGTTTAACTGTGTGTGTGTGTGTGTGTGTGTGCGCGTGTGTATCTGGATTTCTACTTGATTTAAAAATTAAGTTTGTTGTTTTCAAACTAAAATATAAAACATGACAATGTTACTCTTAATATACTAGATTGGTGAAGACTGTTTCTTCCAACCATGTTTTCTTTGATAAGTTTTGCATTGGTTAAATTAGGCTAACACTAAACAAGAATTCATTGCAATCATCTGCAGATTATCAGATTTATGCAAATTAAAGATTAGAATCCTACAATGTCATTAAAATTCTTTTTAAAATCCATTCTTCTTTTTGTAAGTAGGGAGATTTGGAATCTGAATAATCCTCCCTCAACTGTCCTTTAGTTTCCTTCTACATAGAATCAAATAGTAGGACACATCAACAAAATCATGGTAACCTGTGTTTCATCTCTCCTAGCATCTCCCAGAGGAACAGCCTGTGATCCCATGAAAACAAGTGTGGGCCATTCTTGTTTACGTAGCCTGCTGCTGCAAAACTGACAGACTTAAAATAAAAGGAAAACAATACCTGCAGCTGTTTGCTATAGTTTACACTTCTTCAAGCCCCTAGCCATATGATTCTCCCTAATCTGTTTGGATATTATTTTTTCTGACACTGTTTGCAGTCTACTTCGACCCACAGCATCGTTTTGCCCAACATCTTGAACACCAGCAACAAATACGTGACTCTGAAAAGGAGCTTCCTACAATTATATTTTAACATTCTTGTTGACAATCAAGGTCACTCCAACCTGCCCCTCTCTATACAAGTAAGAAGTTTGGCTTGTCTTATAATTGACCATAAGGCTGAAATGTCCTGAGACTATAGCTCCGCTAATATTTAAGCTCTGCTAATATTTCAAAATGAGTATAGAAAATGTGGACCATAATTATACGAGGGATTCATACACATTTTATACTCTAATACTGTAGAAGCTGATAGCAAAATGACCTATACATCAAAACAATTCCAAGGAACTGGTGTTTGTGTGATTATCTTGGAGGGCAGTGATTCTCCTAGAGTTATGTATAACTAGTAAAACAATTCTACTCTATATTTTTTTCATATAGTTTTGGATTACACAATATAGATGTTGTAAGAATCGGCAGTTTTGCTCTTTATAATTTTAAAACACTCTTCAAGTATTTAATTTTGGGCAGTATTCACCTGAACTTTAGAAAAAGAGTTTGGTATAAGAGCCAGATAGAAAATAAATTTAAATATAGAAAAATGGCTTCCCAGCTTATAAAAATGCTCCGTATTCAATCAAACAGTATTGGGAAAACAAAAAATGAAAATGAAACAAAATAAAACAACAAAACAACACATAATAAATTATGAAACAATAAAAGATAGATACCATTTTCCAGTCATTCTCCAATGGACTGTTTTTTAAAATATCGATTTTAATTTCATTAGACATTGACATCACGAACATCCAGTGACTTCACAATCAGGGCTAACATCTTTTGAGTTTTCTGGAACAGGGCAATATGGAAATCTTGGCATGCATTCTTTCATTTCATCATGTAACAACCTTCATTGGGCACCAACATTATCATGAACTTTACAGTTTGGAAAACCAGGACTTTGAAAGATTACATGACTTGTGCAAAGTCAAACTGATAGTAACTAATTAAATCTGTTTCCAATTACAGATTTATTTATTCTCAGAGCCTACATCTTCACTTCCCTCACATAAGATCGCTGGAACCATGCATATTTCACTACATATATTTACTGTGTTAGATCCTTGATATTACTATTCCACCAATGGTAAAACACAAATTACTATAATTGTTTACTGCCTACACATTTGTTTGCAACAATTTAGTCATACTAAATTATGAATGCCATATCGTGGCCCTATATGGATTGCAAAATACTGATACAGTGGAGCCGAATAAGAAAAATCAGACAAAGAAATCTAAAACTGCTTGTTTATAAAATCAGATATAATGTTATAATAAAAGCACAGTGTAGAGTTGCTTTAAAATGAGGCATACATGTTGCTACTTATTTTATAATTGTAAATTATAAAACACCTAATCTTTGCAAAACATATTTTTTCATTTTATATTCCTAATTATTTCCTTAATAAAAATGGTTTAATATACCATATATGATGGGAGGTTAATAGTTCACCCAATCGAGACTCTGGGCGAGGAGCCAAGATGGCTGAATAGGAACAGCTCCAGTCTACAGCTCCCAGCGTGAGTGATGCAGAAGACAGGTGATTTCTGCATTTCCAACTGAGCTTTGAAGAGAGTAGTGGTTCTCCCAGCACGCAGCTTGAGATCTGAGAACGGGCAGATTGCCTCCTCAAGTGGGTCCCTGACCCCTGAGTAGCCTAACTGGGAGGCACCCCCCAGTAGGGGCGGACTGACACTTCACATGGCTGGATACTCCTCTGAAACAAAACTTCCAGAGGAACATCAGGC